>NC_000007.14:93718900-94021930 GCF_000001405.40 Homo sapiens
ATTTGCTTTATTCAGTAATTTTTTTTACTATGTACAAATGTACAGGGATATTTAATTAATCGATGTGATAGAATGACATATTTCCCACAAATTACCGTAAGCAAGCAAGCAAGGAAAACAAACTCACAAATTATTTCCTAAATTGGGATAATATAATTAAAATTAACTTTACAATATAATATATTTCCTCACTAGAACAAAAACATAACAAAATTTAAAAACTCTTCGAGCATAATAAAGGACTTAAAAATACACATTTAAAAAAAAATTTAAGTAACTATCAGAAGGAAAGAAAGAAAATAATAATCTGCCACCAGGAGACTGCAACATTTCAGTGACTTTTTCCACCTCTCCTTCCTCCAAAACTAAAGATTATCTTCTCCCTTCTCAGCAACAGGCGTTTGAGAAAGGAGAATTCTAAAAATGAGGCTAGGAAGCAAGTCTAGCTTAGAAAAGGAGAGGAGGTGGGGGAAATTTTGGTGAATGGAAGAGTTAAGAGGAGTGAGGCAATAAGGATGACTAGATATGGGGAGAAAGTAATAGAGTGTGGGGTTGGAGTACGTATCCTGGCAGGCAAAGGAACTACCACATGGATATATGATGGTTAAAGCCATGAGGCTTCGTGCTAGTGGATGATGAGCATTGATGAGTTATCCCAATTGGGGTTCCAAAATTAACAGTGCACACTCCTTCTCCTTTTCCTCTCTTCATTTTTTACATGAATCTGATTACTCCTTCCTCAGGGTTCTATGTGTGAGAGAGACAAGTCTTTTCCCACTCCTATCCACTGACTCATCTCCAACTGCAGACCAGTAACAATGATAAGAAGACCATAAAACTGTGTGGGCATCACATGACCAGCTTACACAGTAAGCCTGACCACTCTGACCATTTTCTCCTTAGCAAGGATGTGGTTATGTTTTAACCCCAGTGTGTTTAGCTTAGCACCTAGAATTGGGAAGCTGCCATCTCTTTGGTTTCATGAAATTCTATTAGCATTTGGGCTCACTTGACCTTTCCTAAAATAATCAGGCTCCAAGCGTTGTGCTATTTCATTTGAGAAGCTAGAAACTGTAAGCAGGGAAAGAACTTCCAGTTCTATAGGGAAGCAGAAACTGTAGGTGTAACTCAGCCCAGTGTGTTTCTCTGTGTTTGTGTAACTTTAGCACTTGGCTTTGATTAAAGACGTTTTGGAAAGCAATCTTGTGAGGTGTTGGAAAGGACCTTTCTCTGCTAAGGTTTTGGGGTTTTGCATGTGGAATGGCTTTTCTGGAATTTTCCATCAAAAAAGATTACCTTGTTGAAAAAGATGATCACTACTTTCCTTCATTTTTATTGCCAGTTGTGTGGATGTAGCTATTCTTAGGTATTCTTATTTGTGTTCTAGGAATGAATGTTCATTCAACAGCTGAGGATAATGTCATCTACTGGAGAAGCAGCTGTTTCTCACCAAGCATATTGCAGACAATATTATTGCTCTAAACAATGCATAAATCAAAAGGGCTACAGAATATTTCTGGAGAGAAACCCAGAGTGCAAAGAAGTTTAACACCTTTTTAAAGGCCACAGACCTTGGTATTCATTCTGGGAAGTGAGGATTTGAGTTTTTCCTTTCAGACATTCTTTGTAAACACGCTCTTTTCACCCTAAGCAAACATCTTTCTTTTACCAGTAGCATATGTCTGACTTCTGGTTTATTCAGAAACACAAAGACTGTAACGTAATACTATTTGTTTATGAAATTTGAACGAATAACCCAGTCTCTGCTTTTTAGTGAAACCAACATAGATTATCATGTCATCTGCCAACAATTAGAGTTTATCTGTTTGCAATATGTATAACTAATATTATTTTTACATTATTGAGCTAGGTGGGACTTCCACTATAATGCTGAATATGAGCAGTGAGAAAGGACATTCATGCCTTGTGGTCTGATTTTAAAGATAAAGCATTCAGTCTCTTGGCCTTAAGTATGATAGTAGCTATTGGTTTTCCATATATACTCTTTGTTAGGTATGTAGGTAAGGTAAAATTGCACTTCACTCCAAGTTTTTTTTAATCATGAATGAGTTTTGAAGCTTATCGAATAATTTCTTTTGTTTATTGATATAATAATATAGTGTTTATTTTTCAGTCCATTGAGATGATAAATTACATTGATCTATTTATAAATGTTGAACTAGCCTTGTATTCCTAGGATGAACCCCATTTTGCTGTGAGGTATTATCCTGTTTGTATATTACAGGATTTTATTTCAAATATTTTGTTAAGGATCTTTGCTTCTATGTTCATGAGTGATATTGGTCTTTAGTTTTCTTTTGTTGTAATGTTTTAGTCTGGTTTTGATATTAGGATAACTCTGACCTAATAAAATTGAGTGGCAAAGATTCTTTTTTTTTTTTTGTATTTTTGAAAGAGGTTGTGTAGAATTGGTATTATGTTGTCCTTTAATGTCTGGAAGAATCTACCAGTGAAACCACCTGGGCCTGGTGCTTTTTTTTTTAAGTTATTAACTAATAATTTAATTGGGTTATCTATTTCTCCATGAGTGAATTTTGGTAGTATGCAGTTTTCAATTTTGAATTTATAGTTATGGCGTTGTTCTTAATATTCTTACTATCATTTTAATGTCTGCATCCATTATTATTTATATTGTTAACTTTTTTCTTTGTCTCCCTTTTTTCACCCTTAATTACCCTAGCTAGAAATACATCAGTTTTTAAAAAGTAACCAGCTTTTGGTTTCATTGATTTTCTTTATCGTTTTTAATGTCATGAATTTTATATACTTAATTAATTTTAATTGAAAAAATTGTATATACTTATGCACAATATGTTTGGAAGTATGTATACATTGTGGAATGGCTAAATAGTGCTAATTATAATTAACACATGCATTACCTCACATACTTATTTTTTGGGGGGTGAGAACACCTAAAATCTACTCTGCTACTAATTTTCAAGAATATAATACATTGTGATTAACTATAATCATCAAATTATACAATAAATCTCTTGAACTTATTTCCCCTATCTACTCAGAAGTAGAAAGTAGAATTGTGGTTATAAGGGACTGGACTGTGGGTGGTTGGGGAGATGTTATGAACAAGGGTTAAAAACCTATTGAATACTATGCTCATTACCTGGGTGATAGGATCAATCATACCCCAAACGTCAGCATCACACAATATACCCAGGTAACAAACCTGTACATGTACCCCGTGAATCTAAAAGAAAAGTTGAAATTATTTAAAAAAAGAAAAGAAAAATGATCTCAGTCATACTAGCAACAAAAATTACTAGCATTACCAGAAATAAACCTAATAAAAACTACAATTTGGTTATATAAGAAATTATAAAACTTTTTGTTGAAGAAGATAAAAGAAGACATGATTAAAAAGAAATATATATTATATTTGTGGAAGGGAAACACAACATCTAAAACGTGGCAATTCTCAGACTGATACATATATTCAATGCAATTTCAATCCAGACATATTTATTCAAGGTATTTGTTTGCTTTATATTCAGACAACCTTCCTATTCATTATGCTAGGTGTCTTTCTATAATTTGAAATACTAAACAAGCAAGCTTTTTTTTTTTTAAGAGAAATAGAGAGAGGGTCTTGCTATGTTGCCTAGGTTGGAATGCCGTGGCTATTTAAGGTTGTGATTATAGTGCACTGGAGCCTTGAATTCCTGGGCTCAAGTGATCCCTCTGCCTCAGCTGCAACTACAGGTGTGTGCCACCATGGTAGGCTAATTTTTAAAGTCATTAATTTAAGTATGTAATCAAAATAAATTTAAATAACATCGTTTCTCAAGTGTGAAGTTGGGGCCTTTTTTTTTTATCTAGTATCTCTAGAAACAATAGTTTTCCCATCTACATCTTTCTTCCTACTTGTCTCGTATAGTTATTTTACAAAAAAAAAAAAATTCAATTCACCTTCCTTCTGTTCTGCTCTCCTAAAATGCTAGAATAAAAATAGATCCTCAAGCCAGTCTCTTCATCTCCTTCCTACTGACACCCAGTCCACACTTCCTCATGCTGTTTCATTATTAAAATCCATGGAAAGTATTAATATCTTCCTACTGTATATTAAGGGGGAGGCAAGAATATTTGATGCATTCCCTCATTTATTTCTCATGAATCTCCGTTAAGCAGGCACTAACACCTTATTTCTATTTCTGGTGTTAACAATTTTTATCTGAATCTCAGAGAGTTCCTTTCAATTCCTAAAGTCACACAGAGGGTGAGGCGGCAGAGCCAGGCCTTGAAATAACATGTTTATCTCCAAACTCTTTTCTTCTTCATATTTCTATATCTTGCAAGTAGGGTAAAAATCTTGTCTTTTGGAGTCTAGGCTACCTGACTTCCAAGTTCGAGATTACTTTGTACCAGAGAAAACCTAGGCTTATTTTTCAAACTGAGTTTCAAGTTCCCCTTCTATGAAAAGAGGCTAACACTGATTAATACAGGGTTTTAGGAGAATTCAGTGCAATCAGTTAAGTTAGCATCTAGTCAGGAATGAATGTTTGCTTGCTTGTTTCCTTCCCTGAGAACAATATCTAGGAGTCCTTCAGCTGTCTGATAGAAACACTATACCCTGCAGGAGGACAAATCTACTCCACTGCCTGGTGATATAGGGGATCCTTGTTATCTACCTTCCCATTCTTGCAGGAGCTTTGACTTCCTGCTAGCATCTGGCATAGAAGATGGCTTGGCTTGCCCCACTCAGCCAGAGCGTGGGCAGCCACTAAGACACATGCAGTGTTTTGGGGCTCTGAAGAAATGCAAAGATATTTTAAAAATCAGTTCCTGTGCCAGACCTCTGAAATGTTGGTCTTCCCTGTGCCTATCCCCAATGGGTATAAAAGTGCCCTTGCCTACACATGTCTTTCTTCCTCAAGGATGCTTATAGCATATACTTCATGAGAGGTTTTGTTCTGAAGGTATCAGTGTTGCTAGTTCCTTCTTCAGAGTCTGCTCTCTCGTGTGTGAGTGCAGTTCAGTGAACAGCAGCACCTCTGGAGGGGTCCTCCTATCACAAAGAGCAGAGAGACAGAGAGGAGGCCAGCACTCTGGAGGGCTCCCTGCCAATACCAAGTTGCCTTCCAAGGCTTTAGGGAGGTAATTAAGGTTAAAGAGGTCATAAGGATGAAGCCCTCGTCCAGTAGGACTGGTGTCTTCTAAGTAGTGGAATACATGTCAGGGCTTGCTGTCTCCCCTTCAAGGGTACAGAGGGAAGGCTGCACGAAGAGAGAGAGAGAAGACAGCCATCTGTATGTCAGGAAAACAAGCCTCACCAGAAAACAAATTTGTGTTTTTTAAGCCACCCAGCCTGTGGTACTTTTTGTGTGTGGCAGTCCTAGCTGAGTAATACAGGGATATATGGGAATCATCTGTGTTGTCTACCTAGATTTTTTGTAAACTTACAACTCCTCTAAAAATAGTCTATTATAATTTTTTACATTGAAAAAAAAAGTACAGGAAAGGAAAATTCTTTAAGTAGGCAAAACATCAAGCAGAACACTTGCTTGTTCACACTGTACAGAAGAAGAAATTTTCATAGGTGTGATTCTGTATCAGTCTCAGGATATGGTTTGGAAGAAACAAGATTTGAAAACTTAAGTCAGAGATAGATAGATAGATAGATAGATAGATAGATAGATATTATATCTAATATGTGAATGGACTTCTCAGAATAAGTAGAGTGTGAAGATATTTGTATTTTATATGCATACTCACCAAAGTCATTCAATTCACAGGGAGCTCCAAATAATTAGGTAGACATAATGATGCATTTTCTCTGCTCTTCCAGAGGGCAGGATGCAGACTTGTTAGTGGTAATCTTGCTGATCTTTACTCTTCAACCTTTCAATTCTCTGTAAGTCTACAATTCTTTTTATTATGATGATTTATACTTGAAATACAGAGTAGTTTCTGTTTTTCTGAGTAAACTCTGACAAACACAACATGTCATAAAGACAGCAAGCATGAAATCTTACACTCAGAGGCATAACTCCATTTGAAAATGTGCATAGTAAGAAAGATATGGTTTAACAGCATGTGTGAATAAGACATAAGCTTTCATTAATAATAACTTACACTTAATAATAATGAATAATAGTAATAACTTAAAAAAATTGTACCATATTTCTATGAGAAACATATTTATTCTCCTTTATACTTTTTAGGAACAGTGCTTGGAGCAAACCATCCTGTTTTAGATGCTGACATTTCGTAGGCACACAGGAGTGTGTTAACAGAGAGGCAAGCTGTGCCATGAACTGAGCTACTGAAAGTTCTTCAAATTTTAGCCTTAGAGAAGATCAGGTGGGGTGAAAACTGAGAAAAATGAGAAAAATGAGAGAGTATAAAAGTATATGTTTGTAGGGCTATCATAGGGAAGAGGTTTTTGTTTTTTTTTGTTTTTTTTTTTTTAAGCTACATGAAGGCATAGGAATGAGACTGACCAAAATTTTAGGCAAATACACACAAATCTAATATATACATGTACAAATAAATGGAGGTCTCAAATAATTCTCTTCTCCTTCATTCCACCTTTCATTGAACAATCATTTATATACTAAGTCCTGCCGTTTCTTCTTCCAAATTATAGCCTTGATGCATTGACTCCTTACCATCTGTTCATCCTTTACTCTGGCTCAAACCACCACCCTGAAAAATGGCAGTAACCCCTGGCTGCCCTCCTCATTTCCACTCAGTCTCTCCAGTTTATTGTTATCAGAGAAACCAAAGAGATACTTTAAAATATCAATTACATCTTTTGATCTTGTCATTTTTCCTACTGAAGACTCTCGCGTAGATTCATTCCCATTTCTCAGGATAAATTCTGAACTCCTTGACAATACCTACAAGACTCTTGTTTAAAACTATGCTTTGCCTTCATTTCCAGCCTCACCTTTTACTAAAGTTTTCCTCATTCAATATACTTCTGCCATGCTAGCTTCCTTTAGTTATTTAAATGCTCTTTTCTACCTCCTAGACTTTTCTTGTGATATTTCCTCTTCCTGGAATAATGCTCTTCTGACTTTCATTTCTCCTGCCTAATTCTTAAGCATTTTGTCTCCATTTAAATTAGTGACTCTGTACCTGGGGTGATTCGGCACTATCTTGATACATATTTGGTTGTTGCAACTGGGATGGTGCTACTGGGATCTAATAGGTAGAGGTCAGGAAACTGTTCAGCATTTTACAATGTACAGGACACCTCCCTACCGCAAAGAACTGTCCAGCACAAAATGTCAATAATTCCAGGGTTGAGAAACCCTGGCTTATTTGTCACTTCCTCAATGTTTTCAGTCAACATAAAATTAATTCACTTTCTCTCTCTCAAACCATGCTGTTCTTTTCCGCAGTAATTCATCGAAATTTTCAATTGTGTATTCAGTTCTGCATCTAATTGTTTAATGCCTATTTCCCCCACTAGACTGTTCTGTGAGAATAGAAATGTGTCTATTTTGTTTCGCCACTGTTTATTCAGTGTGTGGCATAATATCTGGCATACAGCAGAAAATAAATAATAATTGCTTAATGAATAATTTAATAAGCTTTATTATTGAGTAGGACATTATTTTAGAAACCGAGTAGAAACAGTCATTTGTCACACTGTCATTCAAATCCAGGAAAAAATGTAGTGCAAAACTAAGACATACAAATAACAAATTACAGTACAGGGCAGTTGAAATAATATCCTAAACAGGGTTAAAAATAATATTTTGGGTAAATTCAGAGGAAGGAATGAATAATTCTTATGAATTTGGAGTTATGGAGCATCATTATTGTCATTACCTTCTTCACTACCATTTTTGAAAAATAATTAATTGACTCACAAAATAGGGGTTATCTCTGAGATGTAAGTTGACACATGCTTAACTTACTATGTCACTCACCACATTACCAGATGGTAAATTTTTAGTGACTCTGCACTATTAATTTGTTTTCTACATTACAAACAAATTGGTCTGAGTGGAAGCTTGAGTTGCCTGAGCTCAAAATAATAATTCTATCTTGCAATGATCTTTCTGAATATGCTCAAGAAACCAATTTTGGTGTTGTGAGAAGCCCAGAATGGTTTCATTTATTCTGGACCCCAATTCTACTGACAGGGTACAATCACAAATCATTCTCATGGGATAAGTTTTAAGAATTGGCTAATGAATATCACTATTCCAATCTGGAAATTTAAAGTTATCTAGATAACCTTGAGTTAGGGTTGTACTTTCCAATGTATGTGTTTTCATACACATAAATACATGTGCACATCTCTCCTCCTACCACAGACATACACCAGGCCCTGTGTACTTAATGCACAGTAAAACAATTTTCTGGATCTTCAGGAAGCCTGAGAATTTTAGATTCTGCTTTTCTGTTTTCTTTAAGATAATTCTAACTATTTTGACTCTAGTTAGTCCAATACTATTTGACAATTTAAATTGGCAATGCATTGTGTCCTGGACAACTATCTCCACACAAAGTATTCAAGCTATCCTTTGCTCTCTTTGAATCCCTGACACCATTCTATTTTTCTGCTTAAACTCTTTAACTTACACCTTGCAGAGAAAGCAGAAGCTATTAATGGGGACCCTCAACAACCACCAATAAAATTATGATGGCCAAATCTACCAACATACTTGTCTCTCCACCAATCTCTTATTTCTAACCCAGTAGAGGAATTATTTCTCCTTCTTCATAAAACCAAATTCCTGGGCGGGCTCAGAATCTCTTTTCTTCCTATTTCTCACTTCCAGGTGATCTTCTACCACTCATTTATATTGAAAATGAGTTTGCTTCTGTATACTCAATTCATAGTCAAACTTCTTGGCATCCCTACATCCTCACACTCTGTTCATTCCTCATTTCAGTTCAATATGACTGCTTCCTTAGATACACCTGTGGAAAAGGTTTTCCACACCAAAGGATATAAAGGATACTTTTCCTAGCCTTGAGCAGCCTTATGACATAGCTACAAAATCACCTTGCTTTAAAAGATTTGATTCCCTTGACTTCATTACACCCTCATAGTTTTGTTTCCATCTCCCTGTCTACTTTACCTCTGTTAGGCTTTTAACTGTAGGAGTCCTGATGGTTTCACACTTGTCTCCCTTTTCTTCTCTCTTTACTTGTTCTGCCTGATTTTTACCATTTCTATGTCTTTAATTCCATCTATATAGTGGTTATTCCCAACTTTATATCTCTAGCTCAAATTTATCTTCCAGGCTCTAGAAAAAAATATCAAGCATTCTATTATAAATCTCCACCATACATTTCATGGGTACTTCAAAATTACCATGCCCCAAACAGAAGTTATGATCCTCCCATCACACGAGCAACCCCCCACACCCAGCCTTCAACTTGCTCCTTCTCCCAGAATAGCATCCACAACTAACCAACCAAGAAACAATGAATCACTGTTGACTGTTTTCTGTAAATCAGCTCCCATATCCAACCACACATTATGTACTATTAATTCTACCTTCTAAATATTTTACAAATGCATCCATTCCTCTTCATTAATTTTCTACCATCTAAATGCATCTATTGTTATCTCTTGCTTACATCAATGCATTCTTTTCCCATGACAGTCCTGGTTTCACTCTCATCACCTCCGATCCATTCTCCACATATTATCTGACACATGACCTCTTATGAATGGTGAATGTGAATGGTGTCTTCCTGAAGCTGCATTCAGCATGGCGCTAATCTGAAGTAATCTAAAAATAAAACTCAACCATGACACCATTCTGTTTAATTTTCTCAGTCATATTCTCCTCCTCTTAAATTTCAAAACACTTAAGTTGGTATATAAATCCCTGCATAATCTGGCCCTATCTTCCTCCTTACTATGCATCTGCCATACAGATTTTTTATTTCTTGAATTCCCGAAATTCCCCTTATCCCCAAACAGAACCTTTGCATATGCTATATTGTTTTCCTGGCGATCTCCATCTCTCTCTCTCTCTCTGGGAATCTCTTTATCTCTCTCTCATTAGTCACCTGGATAAATTCTACTTAGTTTTTGTTTTTGCTTAAAGATCACTTCTCTGTGGAAGCCTTCCCTGATATATCAGTTAAGATTTATTCATTAGAGATTCTCTCCAGTACCGTTTTTTTTTTCCTTCTAACTTTTGTTACAACTGTAGGCTCCAGGGTGACAAAAAATGTTTGCCTCATTCACCTATGCATCCCCAGTGGCAAAAACAATAGACACTCAATAAATATTTGTATTAATGAATGAAGTATTTGGAGTGTCAATGAAACCAGCAACAAAATTATTTATATAAGGAACTTTCTTTCTGTCATGAATTGATTGTGCTGGATGTTTGCAGAATCAAAAGTAATCATTTAATTGCAAGACTTTATTTTCTCCCATGCAATATTAGCAAATAGACTTCTCTAAAGATGATTCTAAATGATATTTCAGACAGACCCATGTTAGTCCAAAAAAAAGTGGCTAGAGCTACTTGTATCTCTTAAGTCTTGATTAAACAACACCATGGTGTAAAAGTATATATTCATAAAGACCTCTACCAAAGATTTGCAATTAATCCAGCAAACACTTTAAAAATTATACTTTTATTTTCAGAAATTGTATAGGTCAAAAAAATAACACTATCTAGACTCTACACAAGTGCAAGTTGAGATCATCATAGTTAAAATCACTGAGTCTTTACCAGCTGTGAAAACAAGTAAGACAGTAAGTAACAGACAAGCAATAAATATATCAGAAGATCTTACTGAACACAGTCTTGTGGGTTTGCTTTGCTATAGGCATTGGAATTTCAGAGGCAATGAAATGTTTTCAATTTAAGTAATTGTTTATAGGATTTATCCCATTTATCTCAAAAGTGAAAATGCCAGTTTATAACTTTTCTGAAGAAATTGATTGAAGTTAAAAATATGATAAGATAGATTATAAATCAGTAGAACTGAAATTTCATCCTAGCTATGACAATTACAGCGATAATGTAGGGGAAAAGCTCAATATCTTAGAGCTTTAGTTTTCTAATACATGAAATAGACATAAAAATGTATAACCTACTTAATCCTTAATGTTGTTTCACCCGAAAGAAAATTTCCTTAGCACGGCAGTGTTCTCAATTTGTCTGAAACTGGCGTTTTGTTCCTCATCAGTTACCCCTTCTTATTCATTTTCTTTTCTACTCTAACACCTCCCCTCCCCAATTTTCACAAACGAACATGTCAATTATACGCTTCTAACACCAAATTAATCACTTTCCTGCTTTTGAACACATCAAAACCTTTAATAATTATGCAGAACATAGGAATAATATTTCTGAACTATATACATGTGCTTTTTTGGTTTATATTTCATTGTGTATGATTTTCTCACTATTATTCAAGAGGCATTATTTGTCTTAAAAGGGATTCAAAAGATAAAGAGATGTAATTGGTGTGCAGATTTTGACATTCAAAGTAGAATTTGAGGAGTTCATGGTAAGACAATGGTTCTGAAAGGCAAGTTTTGGAATAAAAACATTGTTTTTTAAAAAAACTTATTTAAGCTTATGTTAACACCAAGAGCCAGTTTTGAGATTCTGAATATATATTTTCACTCCAAACCATACAGAGGTCTCAAGTGATGATATAGGGAAATAGCTTTTCAAGATGAAAAGGAAGAACAGATTATGTCTTCTGGCCCTGGATTTATGGGAAGCAGAAGAAACGAGAGGGAGAGGCAGTCATATCTCCATGTGCCTTTGCTTCTCTTCTTTAAAGCAAAGTCACAAGAAAGAGGGATTGTTACTTTGAGGAGAAAGTCAAAATATAGGAAAAATACCATGCAGGGTGAGTACATGCCAATGTGGTAGGTAGAGTAGCTGTAGCAGAAAGATGCAGCTTGTAGGTGAGCCTGAAGCCATGCTCCTGGCTCCCAGGGTGCCATGTGCACAAAGAGAAAGGGGGCAATGGGAAAGAATGAAGAAGTAATAGGAGTAGCAAATGTGTATTAACTGCAATATGCCAGGTGCCCTTCTAAGTGCAGTATATTTATTAACTCATTTTATCTGTGCAATCATACTGTGAGGATGGTACTTCATTATCCCCATTTAACAAATAAAATTGAGGCATTTAGGGTTTAAATAATTTTTCAGGGGGGTATAGTGTTAGAGCTCTTTGCAGAAGGGTTCACTGAAGTGGAGTTAAATGGCACTCTTTTTGCTGAAAGCTTTAGGGTAGGCTACCTGGTTCAGTGATAAAGGACAGTGAAAGCCAGAAGTCAAGGGGTATCCATGCTGCCAGTGAGAACAAAGTTATCAAGGAGGACCACCGGGTCCTGATAAAGCCAAGTGCTCTTACCACAAAGGAGGTACAGTGATGGTATAGACTCCCATACCTCAACTGATAACAGCAATGAATGAGAATCTACAGGGATCAGACCTGCCCTGATGTAGAATCCAGCATGAAGACCACCGAAGTGCCTCTCACCCATTGCTATTCAGTTCATAAGCCTCCCCTACACGCAGCTACCATCTCTAGAAGGAGAATGGGAGGAGAGAAATGGCTCAGCCATGGAATTGAACTTGTAGCATTTGATTATTTATTCACTAGAGGATGTTTTAAACTTTTAGAAACTATTTAGAGGAAGCTAATTATGTTAATTGGTAATATTTTTTGGCTAGTCTTTCATTGTCCAGTGGTCATGGCTATCAGCTTGTTATAGAAAATAAAGAAGCTAGGTGGTTTTCTCAAAGCTGTGTTGTAGTGTGAGTAAAAATTCTACTACTTTGCATTTGCATGTCTGTATCTTCTATTACATCTACCATGAACATCCTTCTCTTTCCATTTATGTATAAAGTCTAACTCATCCTTTAAGTTCTAATCCAAGTGTCATCTTTTTTTGTGAAAAATATCTCCAGACTCCTAAGTAGAGTTAGTGACTTCATCCTTGTCCTTCTAAAACACAGCACACATGCCTCTAATACATTGCAGGAAACCCATCTATTTACCTTCTATCTCCTCCTCTAGACTCTGAACATTTGCCTGTTGTAGGTCTCAATAACTGTTATCAAATAAACAGACAATCAAATGAGGATGTTTGTGTTAATGCCTTGAAATTCCTGCAACTACAAGAGTTTTTACATCATTGACCACAATGTTAGAGTACAATTGAGACCACTAAGTAAAAACAGACTTCAGCACATAGTATCCGAATTCAAGGGCTTTCCATGTACAGATTATTTTTGCAAGCACAAGCTACGAGAAAAGAAAAATCAGCAATGTCCTCAGCTCTCTCTCTCCAAACTAAAATTACATCCATCAGACCATCATAAGCCTCTTTTATATTCTTTTGTTAACTTATTTGTATATAGTTGCCCAAATTTTATCAGAACCATCTCAGGCATGGATACCATCTCCACAGACCCTTCAATTACACAGTTGAGCACAAAGAGGGGACACTCAGAAAATATTTGTTAAATAAGCAAATGGGCGGATTTTTGCTTGAGACTTGTTTTTACATTAAACATTCTAAAGACTCAGATTTTAGAATGCCTCAGAATTATCCAAAAAGCTTGATAGATGACATATTCCCAGGACCCTTGCCTGAAGGTGCTGATTCACTAGCACTGGGTTAAGAGTGAGGAATCAGCATTTTAATAAGCTCCTCAGGTTACTGGTACAGGTATAATCCACACTTTGAGAAATGTTAGCCTAGACAGTCAACGTTTTTTTTATCACTTCCTGAACTGACTGCATTTCAAACCATTGTAGAATTTATTCCTGGAGTTTTTGCACATTATGGAGAAGTAATTTACCGTTAACTTTTATGCAATACCTATGTCCATGCAGGTATTATATTATTCACAAGATTATCCTTAGAGAGGTTTTACATATCACCAGATTTAAAATTTGCAACACTTACCTCCCATTCACTACCACTAACCACATTTTCTGATTTATTTTTCTTTAGTTCATTTATCACACAGAAACAGACTGTATAATTTACTTATTTATTTTATATATTTTCTGTCTTCTGTTAAAGCATTAATGCCACAAAGAGAAGGAATTTTGGGTTTCCTTCACCCACATACCCCAGTGCCTAGAACTGGGCCAGTCACTCATAAAGCAAGCAAAATAATTGTTGACTTGAAAAAAGAATGGCCAATTACTGGAAACTCTACCTGCAAACATAGGAAGCACGAACAATATATCTGGTTTGTACTCCTTTGTTCCTTCCCTTTTAGCTATGTACCAGTTGCTAAATAGAAAGAAGAAACTACCTTTCGCTGCCATTTCTTTTAAAATCACTACTAATACAATTTCCTTGAAAATTGCCTGTAACAATTGCGATAGCTTGAGAGAATGCTGTCTCTTCAGCCATAATTTTGTGAACAACAGTGCTTCCAGCCAGTTATCTTTCTGTACAACTTGTATTAAAATTTGTTCAGTCTGGATCTCTCCTCATCCTATCAAATTAAAACTTCCCTATCCATGGAACTGCCCATGAAACAGTCATTTTGATTATAATCAAAGCCAATGGCTGGCTATTGACTCAAGGGTGACATCGTATTCTCATATAAAGCTATAAAGGACATGAGATTATAACCATGGTCCAGGCTGTTTTAATAGAATTTGATAATAGTTTCTAAGAATTCTGTTTTTAAATGAATAGTGGTTGAGGTGTTATGTGTTATACTGATTCATTGATGTTAGAAATCAAAAAATTAGCTTAAAACTGAAAAAATCTAATAAAGATATTACAGAAGAAAATTGCATTATAACTTTATCTGCTAGGATATTTTAAAATTTATAATTGAAATACAAACCTATTTCAATGGAGATACATTTTCACCTTGTAGATAGTTGCTTATTACTAAGAGGAGATTTTATTTTTCTGACTTTTTAAGTTTTACACGTGAATTTGGTATAGAATCCCATGCCCTGATGCTAAAGTCATCTAGGTAGACACATTGAAAAACATTCAGCAATAATCCCTCTACTTCTAAATACCTTCACTCCAACAGAAGTTGGGTGCTAAAAAATATGTAAGATTTGGATAGTGGAAATAAAATTGGACTTTTTTGTCCATTTAGCATAAAATTTATAATTCCTCAGTAGGTGGCATAGGGCTTTCAAATTCGCATGCATCCTCTCATTTGGCACTATTATAACCTTCTAGTTAGAGTTATAGCATGACGTTCTGGTCTAACTATAAATAGGGTTCACTTTTACTCTCAAAAGTATTCCATCTTAGTGAAAAATTATATAGTCAGTTTACTTATAATTAGGGAGGATTTTATTATCTCCAAATTATATATGAGAAGGCAGACTCAGATTTTGAATTGTCTAATTGTTATTGGTTTGTTTAATGCTGTATATAAAAAGAAGACCAAAACTCTAGTTTCCTAGTTTCTCAAATACATATTTCCTTAGAACCAGAATCTATAGCATGATATAACTAGGCATTTGGTAAATGCTTCCCAAATAAACTGTTTTTAGATCATAAGTGAATGAGTATAGTGTGAGACAATGGTAAAGGAAACTGCACTTACAGAATATTTACTTTGTCCATTGGAGTAACATTTGTTGTATAATTAAATCCCCATAATACCTCTAATTAACACAAGTGCAAGTCTCCCATATTATAATGAGGAAAGTGAGGTTCAGAGAGTTTAAGTGACTTGCTGTCTTAGATGTAGCTGGTAAATGACCCAAGATCTGATTGCAAAAACTACTCTATATCACAATGTTTTAAAGCTGTAGCCTCAAGTATACCATGAATGCAAAGTACAGCCTTTTCAGTGCAATCATTAGAAACCATGAAATGTTACAGAATCTAGACCTTGTTTCATAGAAAATGGAGAGAAAGAAATGTTAAGAAATTCAACTGAAAGCTCACAGCTTATTGGTAGGTGTTTTGATTCTTTATTTCTTAGCAGGCTGCCTCTCATAACTTCTAGAAGATGAATATTTGCAGCACAAACTATGGAACAAGCTACTACTGGCTTCCAGCTACTACTGGAGTCAGAGCCAGTTAATCTGGAAGCCATTGCTTTAAATTCTAGAAAATCCTTGTTGGATGAAAGCCTGTATGCATGTTTGGAAATAAAATATTTCTTTTCTCTTTCATTTTGTTTTCACTTTCTCTTTTCCATTTTTTTTCCTTTTGACTACCACATAAAACAATTACCAGCTGGTGGAGATTGAACACAAACAGAGGACAATGAAGTATATTGAAGTCTGGGAAGAAAATCTTGCAGTTAGAATTAGCAATTGAACCTTGATTTCCACTACATTTGTATTCCAGATAACCTTTTTGAGGAGGGACTGATTGTTCTATTTGTTTTCGTTTATACTAATACCCAAAGACAATGTCTTTTGAGAGACTAACATTTGGTGGAATTTCCAATTTCATATGAGATACATAGCTTTGATTAAATTCTATACCGTTTAAGCTATAGACATACATGATCCAAAACACAGTATATTTTGTATGCTACACTACCAAATATCTAATTAGAAATTTTGTTCCTTGAGTGAATAAAGATCTGTAAGTAAAAATAGGCTGGCTACTTGCAGGGAGAAAGTTTTGGGTGGTAGAGTTTTAAAGGTGACTTTTCTGGTTTAGAAAATCAAACGTAGCGCTTCACCTAGAGTTTTCTGGGAAAATAACATACTACTTAAACTCACAGGACACTGATAAGTTTGAAGGTCTATTGATTGATCTTTTTGTAATTTTACAGTATTATCTGGGAAAATAACAGAGACAGATTACTTGATGAATTGTGCTGGAAACTTGCTGTTGAATTCTTGGTCCTTGGCTCTTTAGACTCCTTATAGACATTTCTTTTTGTTAATGCATCTTCTTTAAATTCTATTTAAAAATTTCATGGGCATATTCTTTTTGGCTTTGGTGCATGCTCCAGACGTTTCAAGTGACACAGAAGCCCGAATTTGAAATTATAAGAAAATAAGAAGGCTTTAGGAAGTAAAGGCAATGCTTGCAAAG
Source organism: Homo sapiens (assembly GCF_000001405.40). NCBI lineage: Eukaryota > Metazoa > Chordata > Mammalia > Primates > Hominidae > Homo > Homo sapiens. The sequence goes on from NC_000007.14 coordinate 93,735,894, forward strand.
AACTTTATGGAAAATTTTGACTACAAAAGGAAAGGTAGTACAGTTAGTTGCGAGAGCAGTAGCATCAAGTGAAGATGGAGTTGCTTCCCTCTCCTTTCCTTTCTTTGGATGAGTTGGTGAATTTGAAGACAGATTGCACAGAGTTAACGAGGGGAAGACAGTGAAGTTACATAAGGGGCCGAATGAAAAGGAGACATGAGGATACAGACAAAGGCATGGGAAGCCAGGTTAACCATGAAAATGAGAAGGTTGCTTCTTCCTTTCATAACTCAGCCTAAAAAGAACTCAGAACATGCAGAAATCAAGAGGGAGAAACATAGAGTACTCATATCTCATGAGCTCCATCCTACCACAAAAGAGCAGAGTATATGGTTGGGTGGGAATTGGTAGCTTGAAATAACTAGAGGTTTAGGATCATCATTGCAAGCAACACCCATGGAATGGTATATACCAAAAATAAATTTCCAGGAGAGAAATAAATTCTAAATGAAATTTAAAAGGTAGATGTGGAGTCAGTAGCTAACACAGTGTTTTGTGCTATAGTGACAAACATAGTTTTAGTCATAATGCTGCCATAGCTAAAGGTGATTGATAAGACCAAAAAACAGGTCATATCATTCCTTGAACCTAAGAAAACAATAACCTTCTTCAACTTGGGATAGAAACTGTTTGTTAAAACAGGGTTTTTGTTTTTGTTTGTTTGTTTTTCAGTATTCTACTCAATGTCACGAGACAGTGGAAATTTGTTGTTCATCTTTGCAGCTGAAACATGGTAAAATCTGGATCAAATCCCATAATTTCTTAGTTTCACAAGTGTTTAACACAGGACTATAAAAAATAACACCACTAGCAGCAACTTATATTTGAATGCAATGCTACTCCCTTTCAAATGATAGTGAGACTTAAGACTCATCTGAGAAGACTATTCACTTTGAGGGTAATGACTCTATTAATAATACAGACAACTATGTGTATGGGACCCTGCTGTTGACTGAGAGAGCTGGGTGTTCTCTCCCTGATTTCGGTTTTGGAAAAGCAATAGAATTTCCCTATTCCCTCTTATGTCAAACTGCATTAACGGTAATAGGCACATTTCCAAAAATTGTTAACCATTTTTAGAGAATGTTATTAGTTGCCCTGGCATGCCAAGAAAATAGCCTTCAAATTGTAAACACATGTAGAAAGCCTCAGATGAAAAAACAAAAACAGAAACAGAAATTCAAGAAATTGTACACCCCATCTCCTGCCACACCTAACATCATTATTCATTTCTTTCTTTTAAAAGGAATTTTTTCATTCTTACTGTCAGTCATCACAAACCATAGGCAAATAAGTGGTGTTTTACTTGGCAGCAGGTTTCAGATTGCAATCTTTTTTTCCAATCTCACTCAGAAATCTGATCCACTAATGCTTATCAACTGCTCTTCACAACTGAAATCAAGTGTGTTTAGTACCCCATTGATAAAAGTAGAAAAAATACATTTAACTGGAGCATGTCCAAAGGGAGGTTGGGTATTAGGTTAGGTAAACCCTGATTACTGAAGTTATTTACCATCTGCCTAAAAATAAAAATGCTGCATTTGTTCAGGTATACATCTTTCCTCAAGACAGGCATGTGTTTCAGGGGAATCTGACCCCATCCTTGCTCTAATGAGTAGATTAATACAATTATTCTAATTTTTTTCCCAGTGACTAGTTACCACGAAATTGTGTGACCCTGTGATCCAATGTTGGTGAATGAGGCTTGAGAGGATCCCTTGAGAAAGAGGCCTTAGGGAGGATTATCCCAATTCGGCCTCTGGATGTCTTTCCTTCCAGACCTGATGGAGCCATCCTGCTACCAGCTTGAGGTTGAATCTAAGATACAAAGAAGGAAAGAACAAGAGAATCACAGGAAAAGCAGAGCTGGAGTTCTGAGGTACTGCACCTAGAACTAGCCGTACCTATGATTCTCTTATTAATAAGCAATAAATTCCCAGTTAAGTCAGATTTTTTTTCAGTTACATACATCCCAAATGAAACAGTAGATTATGGTATTTTGATAAACTGCTTGTCTTGAGGTTGTAGACCAATTGCTTGTGTAGTGGAATGAGAGGCATTGCACCGTATATCAGTGGTTCTAGGTTCTAGTTCCAGTGGCATGATTTCCAAACTCTCCCACTTTGGCCAGAGGAAGTCCTCTTGTCTGCTTGCCAATCAGGTTGTTGGAAGGATTATATGAGATTAGACGTAAGAAAACTTTTTAGATAGTGAAGTGTTATGCAATCTATTGTTATAAATCTAACTGACTTTATATTCTGAAAAGATTTTCTTCATCTTTAATGCCCATCATGATGCTGAATGTTTTAGTCTATCAATAAATATTTACTAAATGAATATTCATCACTGTGAATGAGATTTTTGGTAGTTTCTTAGACTTAAGAAACCTAGGGTTTATTCTAAGCCAAAGACAATCTAAAATGTGTCACAAAGAGCTTTCTTTTTTTATAGCCAGTTGTGGAGTGGTTTATTTTTTAATGAGTGCTCCAAAATGATAAAGAATTATGATTGCCGTATATTATAAGTACTCTATTGGGTACTTGAGCTAGGTTGTCTCATTACTTCTCTTATGCACAAAAATATCCTTTATGGTAAGTATTATTGTAGTGTTTTGTAGGTGAGAAAACTTGGTCTTAGAGATTAAAGTGCTATCACTTGCCTTATGCAAAATAAATAATAAAAACTAGAGCTAAGAAAAGGCCTAAATCTATGTGATTCAAAAGCTTTTTACTTTTTCTTATTTCACTTGCCAGCATGAAGATGCAGTTTATCAATCTGAATAGGCTGAAGTTAAAATAATGAGACTAAATACCAATTTCTTTCTACCTTCCTTGTTCCGGGCCTAAAATCCAGATAAAAAATAATGTGATTTAAATTCAGTTTCTTTCCTTTCTCTCTTGTCCAACAGTCCATCTTTGTCATCACCCCAGCTAGCAGCATTACTTGATTGCCCACAAGATCAGAATTTCAAAACAAACTTTTCAGACACTCATTTTTGCACTTTCCTGCATTTGTACAATCGAGTATAAATTTTATGGTCCATCAAAATACAAGTGTTTGTCCATAACTGAATTCTCACTAAAAACATTTTTGCTATAGTAACTTACAAAAATGTTTTACCCAAAATTCACACCCTGAATCTCGAACTACTATAATGAAACATTAAGTTGACTGGCAGCATGTATTCAAGTATGTTGAGTACATGTGGTTGTCTTTTGATTATTCTCCCAAAGGAATCACGTCTTGTGCTCACATAGTCTAAAAATGTTGGTTATTAATACTGTTATATCCCCTATATTACTGACTGAAAATATCTTCTCATAAACTGGAGAAATCTGAGGAAAACAGGTGAGTTTCAGGGAATTTTTTTAAAAACCCTGATAATTACAAGAAAAGTTGAAGGTCACAAAGTACATTAACATAGGTGATTACAATATAAATAAAGGCCATGAACATGTTGCTGTCTACATGCATACTATCATGTTTTTTCATTCAAGTGAGAAAATATCTATAAACTGTAAAAATGTTATTAATCCTGGAAAGTTTTACTTTGTAATAGGGCATAACATAACTTGTAGTTTAAAATTGAGGTACACTTTATATACAGTGAAATGTTCACATTTTATGTATATAGTTTGGTGAGTTTTGATAATACATTTATACTTGTAACCCACAATCTTATCAGGACATTGCATCATCCCAGAAGGTTTTCTTATGACAATTTGTGGTCAACTTCTGATTCCCCAAGCCTCAACCATTGTGATTGTTATAATCACAAATAAGCTTTCTCATTTTATAACTTAAAATAAATTTAATCATTCAGTATATATGTGGATCTTTTAAATCAACAAAATGTTTTTGAGAATCAATAATACTGTTGCATGTATCAGTTCATTCTTTTTTAAATTTACTTTTTATAAAAAATAGTAAAAGAAACACTGTAGAGAATTTTACAAAATCAGAAATGAGAGCAATAAGGGAAAAGGTTAAGAGCAAAGAGGAGTCAATACAACAATTAGTGTGATTTTCTGTTCTTTACATAATTTTTATTTTGATTTTTTATCTAGCCTAATTTTTAAGAAGTCTATTAATTTTATGATATTTTTTCAACAGAAAGAACTTGAACTACTTTTTTCTTTTTAAACCTTATTTTAATGTATTTTTGATTTTAGAATATTTTAGGTTTACAGAAAAGTTACAAATACAAAGTTACCATAAACCTTAACAGCAGTTTTTCCTGTGATTAACATGTTACATTAATATGCTACATTTGTCACAATTAATAAACCAGTGCAATACATTATTATTAATCAAAGTCCACACTTTATTCAAACTTCTTTAGCTTTTACCTAATGTCTTTTTTCTGTTCCAGGATCCCAACCAACTAAGTTGTCACAATACATTTAGTCACCATGTCTTCCTAGCCTCCTCTAGATCATAACAGTTCCTTGGATTTTCTTTGTTTTTGATGGCCTTAGCATTATTGAGGAGTATTGGCCCACTGTTTTCTAGAGTGACCCTCACTGGGAGTTATCTGATGTTTTTCTGAGGATCAGACTAAGGTTGTGAGTTCTTGGGAGGAAGTTCACAGAGATTTAGTGCTATTCTCAACATATATCAAGGGTATACACTGTCAATAGGACTTACTGTTGATATTAGTCTTGATCACTTGGCAGAGGTAGCATTTGTCAGGTTTCTTCACTGTAATGTGCCTGCATTTCCCCTTTTATTCCATATTTTTTAGATGGGAATCAAGATTTAAGACACTTAAGAAGTGGACAGTTATGCTGTAATTTCGTGATGGCAGAGTATCTACATAAATTACTTGAAATTCTTCTGCACAATATGTTTGTCTGTTTTTTCCCATTTGTTTGTTTGGTTATTTATTTCTATCAATGTGGAGTCATGAATATTTATTTCATACTTTTATTATAATCCAACACTACTTTATTTATTTGATTGCTCAAATTGTTCCAAAGGCAGCTATTGCAAACTTTTTTAGTTGGCTCCTGTGTCCTTTGACATACCCCCATCATTTTTTGTGTGTGTGTTTAGTACTTCCTCAGTTTCTGGCACTTATAACATGGTCCTGTGTAGTCCTAGAACCAGTCAATTCTCTAAAACTTTTTGTCCCTTTTATTGCAGAATGATATTAGAAACAAAGATCTGGGTGCTAGGTGTCTTTACTGCTGTTGGGGTGTCTTTGTTTCAGGTCCTCTCAAGTGACAGGGTAAGAAAATATATGTGTGTATACTGACATGTTTATATGCAATTTTATGTCTATCTTCTATCTCCATCTGGATCTATATTAAGTTAAACAAAAATCATAGTGACATCTCCAATTTTATTATCACAGGCTTATTCTAGCCTTCTCCTCTTTTCTTGTTTATAACCTCCTGTGCCCCCAGTGAGAAACCTGGCTCCCATCATCCTCCATTCATTTACTTATTCAGTTACAGAATATGTTTATAACAATTTCAGCATTGTTCACCCACCCCTCTGTGCAAGACAGTTTATTAAATAGAATACAGTGCTTATGTGCAGATTCTTTTGCCTTCAGTCTTTCAGACTACAATTATTTTCAGTTACTTGTCAGCACCTTTTTGACCAACCCCTTTAAGCGAGGTTGTTTTATAGTATTGTGATGTTATCTGTAGGTTTTTATAAGTGTTGTTTATCAAGTTGTACAAGTTACTTTATATTTCTAGTTTGCTGAGAGTTTTAATCATAATGACTATTGTATTTTGTCAATTGCGTTTTCTGCATCAATTGATATGATCATATAATTTTGATTCCTTAGCCTGTTGACGTGGTAGAAAACATTAATTGATTTTCAAATACGGAACCAGTCTTGCATACCTGCAATAAATTCCACATATTTGTGGTATATAATTCTTTTTATACATTGTTGGATTCTAATTGGTATCCTTTTATGTTTCTTCAGTGGTTTATTTTAATGTTAATTGAGAAAAAATGAAACAGTGAAGTGCACAAATCATGAATGGATACAGCTCAATGAACATTTCATATATAAATACATAAACAACACACAGATAAAGATGTAGAATAACTATTAAAATGAGGCCGGGTGCAGTGGCTCATGCCTGTAATCCCAGCACTTTGGGAGGCCAAGGTGGGCAGATGACCTGAGATCAGGAATTCAAGACCAGCCTGGCCAAAGTGGTGAAATCCCATCTCTACTAAAAATAGAAAAATTAGCCGGAGATGGCGACGGGTGCCTGTAATCCCAGCTACTCAGGAGGCTGAGGCAGGAGAATCGCTTGAACCCAGGAGGCAGAGGTTGCAGTGAGCCGAGATCATGCTATTGCACTCCAGGCTGGGCTATAAGAATGAGACTCTGTCTCAGAAAAAAAAAAAAAAAAAGAAAAGAAAAGAAAAATCAAAAATCAAACAGACTGTCTCATGCACCCTCCATAACAGCACTCCATAACAGCTCTCCAAAGAAATGACAAGAATTCAGACCTCTTTACAACACAGTTATTTTGTGGTAATTTTTATTGTGGTGAAAAAAACATGTAAAATTTACCATTTTAAACATTTTTAAGTGTACAATACAGTAGTGTTAACTATATACATATTGTTGTACAGCAGATCTCTAGAACTTTTTCATCTTCAAACAAACTCATTTTCATTGAACAGATACTTCCTATTTCCTCCTTCCTTACACTGTTAACCACACTTTACTTTCTCTTCCTGTAAGTTTGACTATTTCATAAATCTCACAGAAGTGGAATAACACAGTATTATTTTTGAAACTGAGTTATTTCTCATAGCATAATATTTTCAAGCTTCATCCATGTTTTACCATATGACAGAATTTCCTTCCTTTTAAAAGCTGAATGAAATTCCGTAGTATGTATATAACACTTTTTCTTCATTCATTCCTTGATGGACATTTCGATTGCTTTCATCTCTTAGCTATTGTGAATAATGCTCCAATGAACGTGGATGTACAAATATCTCTTTGAGATCCTGTTTTCAATTCTTCTGGATATATACACAGAAGTGAGGTTGCTGGATCATATAATTCTATTTCTATCTTTTGAGGAAAATCCACACTGTTTTTTAACAGTGGCTGTACTATTTTACATTTCCACCAACAAAGCGCAAGGATTTCAATTTCTTCACATCCTTACCAACACTTGTAATTTTTTTGATTTTGATAATAGTAATGAGTATGGGGTAATATTTCAATATGGTTTTGATTTTCATTTCTCTGATAATTAGTAATCTTGAGCATCTTTTTCATATGTTTGTTGGCCATTTTTACATCTTCTTTGTATAAATATCCAAACAAGTCTTTTGCCCATTTTTTAATTGGGATATTTGATAGTTTTGCTGTTGTTTAGTTGCAAGTGTTTTTATATATTCTGGATACTAATCCTTTGTCATATATATGGTTTGAAAATATTTTATCTTATTCTATTGGTTGCCTTTTCACTGTGTTGGGTGTTATAGTCCCATTTTTTCCACTTTTGCTTTTGTTGCTTGTGATTTTGATGTTATGAGAAGTCATCACCAAATCCAATGTCATAAATCCTCTCCCTATCATTTCTTCTAGTAGTTTTATAGTTTCAGGACTTACATTTAGGGCTTTACTTTTGTACATGGCTTAAGGTAAGATTCCATTTTCACTGCTGTGCAAGTGGATATTTAGTTAACACTATTTGCAGAAGTGACTATCCTTTTCTTTCCTCATTGTGCTTTCTTGGTGCCCTTGACTAAGATAATTTGACTAGATATGCAAGGGTTAATTTCTGGGCTGTCTATTCTATTCCATTGTTCTGTATGTCCGTTTTTATGCCAGTACCATATTGTTTTGATTACAGAAGGATTGCTGTGTATTTTGATGTCAGGAAGTGTGAGATCTCCAATGCTTTTCTTCTTTTTAAGGATTCTATGGCTATTTGGGATCGTTTGAGATTCCATATGAATTTTGGAAAGTTTCATCTATTTCTGAAAGAAAAGCCACTGGGATTTTGTTAGCAATTGCATTGAATCTCTATATTACTTTGAGGAGTATGCACATTTTTAACAATATTAAGCCTTCCAATCCATGAACAAAGATGTCTTCCCATTTATCTGTGCCTTTTTAAATTTTTTTCCACAATGTTTTATAATTTTCAGTGTACAAGTCTTCCACTTCCTTGGTTAAGTTTATTCCTAAGTATTTTTTGATGCCATTATAATGGATTTTTATTTCTTTTTTCTTGTCTAATTTCTCTATCTGGGACATTCAGTGCTACACTGAATAGAAGTGGTGAAGATCAGGAGGAAGGAAGGAATGCTCATTCTCACCACTTCTATTCAACCATTGAGTATTATGTTAACCAGCGGTTTGTAATATATGGCCTTTATTACGCTGAAGTACATTCCTTTTTTTACCTAATTTGCTGAGACTTTATATCACAAAAGAGTGTTGAATTTTGTGAAATTCTCTTTCTACATTGAGAGGTTCACGTGATTTTTGTGTTTCATTTTGTTATTATGGTGTATTACATTGATTGACTTTTGTATATTGAAACATTCTTGCAACCCAGGAATAAATCCAACTTGGTCATAGTATATAACCCTTTTAATGTGCTGTTGATTTAATAACCTAGAATTTTGTTGAAGATTTTTGCACCAATATTCATCAGGTATATTAGTCTACAGTTTTCTTTTCTTGTAGTATCTTTTTCTGGCTTTGGTATCAGGGTAATGCTGACTTCATGAGTTTGAAGTGTTCCTCACTCTTCTATTTTTTGAAAGAGTTTGAGAAGGATTTGGGTATAATGTGTGAAGCAACTTTTGCTGACAGTGTTGCAGCAGTTCTCCAAAATTGAATTGTACAGTAACCAAAACAGCATGGTACTAGTACCAAAACAGAGATATAGACCAATGGAACAGAACTGAGCCCTCAGAAATAATGCCGCATATCTACAACCGTCTGATCTTTGAAAACCTGACAAAAACAAGAAATGGGGAAACGATTCCCTATTTAATAAATGGTGCTGGGAAAACTGGCTAGCCATATGTAGAAAGCTGAAACTGGATCCTTTCCTTACACCTTACACAAAAATTAATTCAAGATGGATTAAAGACTTAAATGTTAGACCTAAAACCATAAAAACCCTAGAAGAAAACCTAGGCAATACTATTCAGGACATAGGCATGGGCAAGGACTTCATGTCTAAAACACCAAAAGCAATGGCAACAAAAGCCAAAATTGACAAATGGGATCTAATTAAACTGAAGAGCTTCTGCACAGCAAAAGAAACTACCATCAGAGTGAACAGGCAACCTACAGAATAGGAGAAAATTTTTGCAATCTACTCATCTGACAAAGGGCTAATATCCAGAATCTACAATGAACTCCAACAAATTTACAAGAAAAAAACAAAAACCCCATCAAAAAGTGGGTGAAGGATATGAACAGACCCTTCTCAAAAGAAGACATTTATGCAGCCAAAAGACACATGAACAAATGCTCATCATCACTGGCCATCAGAGAAATGCAAATCAAAATCACAGTGAGATACCATCTCACACCAGTTAGAATGGTGATCATTAAAAAGTCAGGAAACAACAGGTGCTGGAGAGGATGTGGAGAAATAGGAACACTTTTAAACTGTTGGTGGGACCGCAAACTAGTTCAAGCATTGTGGAAGTCAGTGTGGCAATTCCTCAGGGATCTAGAACTAGAAATACCATTTGACCCAGCAATCCCATTACTGGGTATATACCAAACGATTATAAATCATGCTGCTATAAAGACACATGCACACGTAAGTTTATTGCGGCACTGTTCCCAATAGCAAAGACTTGGAACCAACCCAAATGTCCAACAATGATAGACTGGATTAAGAAAATGTGGCACATATACACTATGAAATACTCTGCAGCCATAAAAAATGATGAGTTCATGTCCTTTGTAGGGACATGGATGAAACTGGAAACCATCATTCTCAGCAAACTATCACAAGGACAAAAAACCAAACACCGCATATTCTTACTCATAGGTGGGAACTGAACAATGAGAACACATGGACACAGGAGGGGGAACATCACATGTCGAGGCCTGTTGTGGGGTGGGGGGAGGGGGGAGGGATAGCATTAGGAAATATACCTAATGTTAAATGACGAGTTAATGGGTGCAGCACACCAACATGGCACATGTATACATATGTAACTAACCTGCACATTGTGCACATGTACCCTAAAACTTAAAGTGTAATAGAAAAATAAAAAAGAAAATAGTTGATGATAGTGATTATAAAGCCAAGCAAGTTTTCAATCTTGATTTTACTGGACCTTTTATTTTGTTGGACAGAAATGCCATCTCATCTTCATCACAGACAACAAGAAAAAGTGTGAGAAAATAAAGCTTCAAAGAAGGCTTATTTTTTTAACAGAAATCTGGATATTAAGCTCAATTTGTTATTAATATATTATTTGTACAACCCATAGAGAGATTAAGGGAATGTTACAGTATATGGCTTTCAAATGTGTAATGGCTTTCTATGTGTAATGGGGAGCATGTTAAATGATCATGCAAGGAACTATTTCCTGCCATTCATCAGAAAACATACAATAAAGAAGAAATATCTTACAAATGAGGCCTTTTGATAACAGGTAATGCAGCCAGGAAACTTCATAGTGCTATCAATTGTGGTGAAAATATCTCCCTATTAGTTGATATTTGTGAAACTGCCTAATTGCAGCCAATCAACCAAATATTTATGGCAAATTTCAAGCATTTTGCATGTATTGATGATGATGTATCTCATGCTAAGGCTGAGACCAATGACACTACCTCAATGGTGGATTAATGTAAGAGATTTGACATCAAGAAATCAAATTCACCAGTCAGTTTTGAAAAAAAAATATGATGACAGGCTAAGAACAAAATGTGGAACAAATGTATTCCTCTAACTCACAATGACATTCAAGATTTCAAGGCAAGGATTAATCAACACAAAGCAAATTACATCTCACTCAGGAAACTGGAATTTTTGTTGTGGACAATAAAAATATTGAAGTTTAGGACCACTTTGCAAAGAACTCCTAACAAACAAATTTCTCAATTTGATGCTTATTGTTTGCTATAGAGGAAAATAGAGTAGACAAAAATATTTAATGCCAAGTTTTTAAAATAAATTTGAAATGAAGAATTCAAAAATTGCTGTTGCATAAGAGAATAATTATAGCACAAACAGTCACATCACATTAAAAAAATGCTGTCTCATTATTAGGAGCTGTGTAAGCATAAGCAGAGTCCCAACACATCTGTTTTGAATTTTTATTTGCTTTTAATCTCATTGCTTTTTTTTATGTCTTTCGACAATGTTTGACAGCCTTCCATATTCAGAGACTAATACTAAAAGAAAAGACAATTCACAATTTGTTGGATTTGAACACGTTCGGAAATTACCACTTCACTAACCTCCCCATCTCACTCTTGCTCCATTCATCCAACATTAAACAAGAAAGACTTTTACTCCCATTTCCTCTTCTTGTCACCAACCTTCACCCAGGCAATGCTTTTATATGAAGTAATCATTTATTAACTCTTGCCTTGTTTGCTTATTTTATTTTGCTAAGTGTTATTTGCATTAATTATGTACTTGTTCATATTTTTATTTATAATACATTTTCTGTTTATGACAGGAAAAAGTGATTTGTATACAATGCTATGCTTTATCATTGCATGTTGAACATAAACATGCCTATCAATAAATTCATTAGTATTAAGCGATTAAATTTTTATGTAATATATTGATGTGTTTTTGGAATACTCAGGCAAATTAGATGGGATTTGTCAAGGAACTATGAATGCATTATAATTTTTCTATTTTAAAAGACAATGGAAGAATTTTATGTGTATCAGAAAATATATTAGGATTTATGAGTATGAGAGGTCAGAAAAATTTTTTTGTGTTGTTTTATGTTGATGTTCCCAGAGTGATTATAACTAGACTCCTTAAAGTAAATAGTCTATTTTATGCCCTGCCGAGTGAGGAGAGTGGATGGGAAAGACGTGGACTAGAAAGAGAGTGTCAGGCAGGTTTGTTCTGAGGAAGTAATAATGCAGTTTCTCATAACAGTTGCTATGGTCTGAATGTGTTCCCTAAAATTCATGTGTTAGGAACTTGATTCTCACTGCAGCAGCATTGGGAAGTGGAGCCTTTTGGGGGTGTTTAGGCCATGAGAATGCCCTCATGGATAGATTAGTGCTCTCATAAAAAGGGGCTTTTGTGAGTGGGTTTGCTTTCTTCTGTTCTTGTCTGCCATGTGAGAACTCAGGCTTCTCCCCTTGGGAGGAACCATCTTGGAAGTAGTGAGCAGCCCTCACCAGACACCATATCTTGGTATTGGATTTCCTAGACCTCAGAACTGCGAGAAAATACATTTCTGTCCTTTATAAATTACCCGGTCTTATGTATTCTGTTATAGCAGCACAAACAGATTAAGACAAGAGTGTTACAAGCTAAAACAAAAATGTTAACAATTGTTATAATTACTTTTTAGGAAAACTCTCAATTTACTTGACATAAATGAGAGGGAAAAATATTGACTTCCTTTAAATTAGAATTGTGTGTGATTAACACAGATGTTCAATGGAGGTCATGATTCTCTCCATGTGTATTGTGACTCACTGTGTGCAAATACTGAATATTCACCAAGTTCACTAAGTTTGCAAACTATAGGCCATGGGTCCAATGTAGTCTACTACTGTTTTTCTAAGTAAAGTCTTATTGAAACACAGTGACACTCATTTATTTATGTATCTATGACTTCTCTTGGACTCCGATGGCAGAGTTGGTAATTGCAACTGAATGCTTATGCCTCACAACTAGAATATTTACTAGTTAGCCCTTCACAGAAAATATGTTGCCTAGAACTGAATTACATAATGTTATATATTAAATATTTTATTATACTCTGAACTCATCCTGAAATAGAGTAAATTATAAAACCATTATCAAAACATATAAACTCAGTATATTGCAGATAAAGTGGCATAGCATATAAAAATTTTAACATGCAGCAGCTTTGCCATGCATTAAGACCAAGAGTACCTAATTTATAAGGGTCTGTTATAACATTGCTTTCTCTATAACAGTGTTTTATGACTTAAAAGTTGACAGTATACCGAGAAAATTCTCAGTACATAGAATGTTTTCTTAGCATAGGCATACTATTTACAAATAGTCTAAATTATTGATTTTATGCAATCCCATAAAACTTAAATATATAAATACTTCAGTGATGTAATAGACTTCTATTTCTAGTTGGTTTCCTAAAGCACTTTCTTTTTCAGAAGTGTCTCTCCTCAATTCTATGTGATTCATTTGGGGCAGTAAATTGCATAGCCCCAACTCACTCATGAAAGAGAGTATATGTAGCCCAAGGAAGAGCTCATCAAAGTTCTTCTCAGAAATTGATATGAATGTTAGTGCAGACACAGTTGCCTCTTTCTTATGAGACCACAAGTTGTGAGAACAATGCAAGTCTTGGGCTTCCTGTGATTACCCTTGTCTGAGACTAAAGCCAACAATACAGCAAGCAGTGTAGAGAGATACTTAAACAGACAGACTCTTAATGTCATCATGTAAATCTGGATCCAACCATATCCAAAGTCTCTTGAACTTTCCAATGACATCACTCAATAACTTCTATTATTTTAATTAATCTAGTTGACTTAGATTTCTGTATTTTCCAATTGAAAAGTACCTGATTAATTCAGATACAGCTATGAGAGTTTAAAACAAATTTCCTCATTGTGCTATGTTATTCTTACATGTATTATTTTGCAAATATGTCTAGCCCTAGAACTTTATTTTTCCTTTCCAGTGAGAGCCAATATTTCCACATCAGAACAAAGGAGAATAGCTAAACTACTTGATATTTATGAAAATGTTCTCCACACTGTTGTGTACATTGTAGAACCCTAAAATACAAATTTAGACAGATGATTTTAAAACGTGCTTATGAAGAGGTTCTTAGTGACTTATCTCAGAACTGGAAACTTACCCAGAAATTTCAAATGATGTTAACAACAAGGAGTGTGACCAGGATTTCCTGGTTCCCACAGAGTACCATGATCTTCCCACAAATAGAATGTAGACAATCAATCTGCTTTTGAAATTACATTTACTCAGCTGTATGTATAATAACTCTAGATACTGGTATATTACATTAATTTCTGAATCTGATGTCATGAATAAGTATTTGAGAGCATGCTAAGTTCTAGGCCTTGATAAAGGCTCCAAAGAAGTATCTTCAAATATCACCTGAGTTCAAAGAGCTTAAAATTTTGTCTAATATCTAAGAAGATGGCACATGCTGAGTCACCTGATCATTAAAATGTAAGTGACTAATCAGAAATACCTCTCTTAATAAAATTTCAAGGGACAAGGAGGGAGTGAAACAGAATGATGCTGAGAATAATTAGGTTAAATCACAATTTTGTCCAAAGAAGACCAGGAATAACACAAAACCAAATGGCAGTCAGATACAAAACCAGAACTCTAATAGCCATTTGTATTAGAAAAAGTGACAGAAAAATCTAATGTGTAATGACAATTAAGGAAAATTTGGCGGAAAAAATAGGCAATAAATAAAAGTACAACATTACAAGTTAAAGGGAAAGGAAACACAATAAAACAGGACAGTGATTATAAGCTCTTTTCCAAAAATTTACTTCTAACAGAACAGTCAAGTTTCTCTGAAAAGTAACTAGAAGTCATAGAAAATATCCTGAACCTCGGAGGAGCATTAGAGACATTACAGAACAGTGTTTTTGTTGAAGACTGAAGTACCTCAGCAAGATGTATCAGAGACTACATTTTGATCATCCAAAGTGACTTTGCCACACTGACATTTTAGCATTGTTTTTCTTTAATTACTACTGAATTTGAAATTATGACTCTCGGGAACTTATACTTTCTTGGATCGACTTCAATTCCCTCTTTTTCAGAGATTGCAAAGACCAGATGCTTATACCAGAAGTAGCCTTGTTTCACAGCTGAAATTAATCAAAGGGTAATGCAGGACAACCTCCTAAAGGTGACAAGGATAGCTAAGGGATTCCCTGCCATGTTTCCTCATTTCAAACATGCTATCTTGCATCAAAAAGATTGTGCTATAATATTAACCCAACATGATGACGAATGAAAGTGTTGGAGTTATTTTCCTACAATAACAAGTTGAAATAAACTAAACACATGCATCCTGTTGTTTACTCACTCTCATACCCAGTGGCATATATCTGAAATGCAGCTAACTGGATGTTTTGTTTGGGAAGTGTGTAACATTTCTTAAACACCATGCCAGATATTGTGTTAAAAGCTGTTTCCTGCAAGGGATTTTATTGAAAATTCTAAAGGTAAATCCTATGAGTTTAGGATTATTTTTATTTCTATTTTACAGATGGAAAAAGTATGCACTATTGAGTACTGGAAGCATTTAATTTTTTACTGAGATCTGAGCATTTGCCTTGATCACTGGTCTGAGTTGCCCCCAGAACAGTTTGTGCTGCTCTTATAATTATGAAGATAGGTCTCTTTGTTGTGGTAGATTGAATGAGTGGTCCAAATTTTTAGCTCTGCTATTAAACAATGATTCTTCCACACCCTTGCCATGACTTCATGGTGGTTGGAGCATTATCTTCTCACCATTTGATTTTAGCCTGAGACTTGTAATTTGATCTGACCAGTGGAATGTTAACAGATGCAAAGCAAGCAGAAACCTGAATTGTGTTCATGGGTAAGACTGGTACTTTCGTGTTGTGATAATCTCTCATGAGAAGAACATATCCTAAATAGCTTTAACACTTCAGCCTAAAGCCAAGGCATGACCCCATAGCTTAGAGCCAAATACAGCTGATTTGCATTCTAAAACAAAGCTGCCCAGCTGAACCCAGCCTACGTAAACAAAATTGCTTATTATTTTAAGCCCTTGGATTTGGGGATGACTTATTAGGCAGCACTGTTGTAATAATAGCTGACTGATACACTTTTACCGCCACCTGTTGTCACTGCCAACATTACAGGTGAAGGATTAATTATAGAGTGGTTGCTCCATGTTCATTCTATAGCTTATGGACACTGAGTCTTCCCTGTAGCTTCTGAGGCACGAGTTGTCTAAGAAACTAATGGGTCTTATATTTGTGCAGCAGTTCATGAGGATCAGCCTTTACCAATGGGAAATGGGACTGAAAAGATAAATTTATCTCCCTTCTTCCTATGGATAGATTGTTTAGATAGAGAGTATTAGAATAAGATACGACTTCTCTGAAAATGTCCCAGCAAATCAAGCTATCGGCATGGTCTGGCCAAATCACTAATGCATTTTGCCATGGTTTTCCTAAGAAACCTGGGCTGTTTCTTAGATTAAGAGATTAAAAGGCTAAGTAAATTTTCCAAGTTCAGTGAATGAGTAAGTGGGATAATTAGTACTTGAACTCAAGATTCTGATTTCAAAACTAAATACCAAACCATTGTGTTATATTGCACTATTTTGAACTGTCTTAGCAATTTAAAAATAAAAATACCTTCTGTTAATTTGGCCATTAGTCATTATTTAATGGGCAAGTTTTGGATGTAAGGAATTTGGAAGTAATTTTGGGTGACTTTTTAAAAAATATTTAGAATACATAAATACCAGAGCAAAAGAATATTGAAATTAAACAGTAAGTTCAAAGGCTGTTTACTAGAGCTATTTTATCCTCTTATCAAAGATGAAAGAAATTATAGTTGAACAAATTTGATAACTTTCTCTACAATGAGTAGTGTTCTCTTTTTGACTTCTAAAATCCAGTTATCACACCCATGACTTCAAAGGAATTATCTTAAATATATCTTGCAAATAACATCTGAAACTCAGCTATTTACAGACCAAGAAGCCCTTTTAGAACAAAATATCTATGAGACATAGAAGATGGTGGAGGAAAGGAGTAGTGGGTATGCATCAGATGAAAACACCTCTCTTTCTCTTATAGGGTATTCTTATTTTGTGAATATGTTATGATGCAAAATGGCTAAGGTACAAGCAAAGACTCGAACACGATTTGTTCCCAGTGCTTGTGTCTTGGGAAGAGAAGTGGGAAGGGAAGATCCATTTCAGTAGTCACCATGGATTGTTTCATAGTGATTTAGGTTAGTTGATCTTATTCAGTGATTCCTACGCCTGGCTACAGATTTGGACCACTTGCAAAGTTTAAAAAATGTGTATTCCTTTACTCCACTGCAGCCTCTCCAAAACATTAGAGAAAAGATTACACTCAGGGCCCGCCTGAGGTTAGGGAAATGGGGAGTATGAAATTTATTAAAATATACTTTGCTTTCATTGGGATTCAGGAGACCAAAAGACCAATCTTTGGATAAGATAGTTTATGTATACAATTATATAATGATTTTCTTTTTTGGTTCCTTCAAGTTTTGAGCAAATACTGTTTTGGGTTGTTTTTATAGTGTCAACCCCTCAGCTCTGATGAGGAAAACAAGGAGAAAGATTTAGACCCATGATTTTAAAGATAAATCAACATATTTCTGAAAGACTAAGCTTGGAAGTATAAGGTGATTAACATATCTTACAATGAAAGTAAGACAATCTAATATGCATGTTAATTACTGGATACTGTGCTAACTATTTTATATCTGTAAGCTTAAAGTAAATAATTTGCAGCTACTTCCAGATAATAATGTCGAGGATTAGCAAGGCTAAATTATTTACCAAAGACCACATAACATGCAAGAAAGGCAACTGAGTCCAAACTTAGGTCAATTTTACTTCTTGGTAGAAGCTCCCAATCACTAGATTGTACTACTTCAAAATGAAAAGCACTTTAAAGGAGCGACAGTGTCAAAATGGAAATATTGAGGATTCTTTTTAGAATTTATTTATGATCAAATCATGACAGGATTTTTGTTCTTTAAAGAGGAAGATCTGTCTGCCTACTGTAAAATATGTAGAAATAATCCTTGTAAGTTTATTACCTAAAAAGTAACCTATATTTATAGTGTATATATCTATTGAAATATTTGTCCTTATATTCACATAAATCATCAAAAATAATTATTTTACTTATAAAACAGTACTTTTAAGGGGTATATTGCCATAATAGTAAGCCCATCTTCTTCTTGGAGGGATATGCCGTTCTGAACCTTCATCAGAACGTTTTCCACACTTTATCACAGATCATTTGGCACATGTTACATGTGGTCTTCTATTTCACAGTGATTGTTGTGGGTGAACATCTAAGCTATTTGTTAATTTTATATTACCCTTCGGAAAACAAATGAAAGGCTTCCCCCTTCCACATCTGGTGCTATTTCAGAATTAAATGAAGGTTTTAGTTTATTCATTCTCTGCAATAACAGATTGCGTTTGAAAGATATTTTGAAATATGGGACTGCATATTTCCACAGAATGTTAGCAAGAAGAATAGCTCTCTGTATTTTACATTGAATTTAGGCAATATTCTAAAGCAGTTAAATTTCCCAAACCAGACACTAATATCCCTTTTCTGTTGCCTACATTATAAACTTTTCTTGAAAAGTAACTTAAAAGAATGCTTTAATTTTGGTAACGTTGTTTAGGAAAGCCACTGTTACTATTTTAGAGTGACATTGACTTCCCAGTGATACACATATGATTATAGTTTTATGAAATATGCCTCGCCATGTGTTCTGTCTTTACAGTGACTTAATATTGCCTAATTTTTCTGACTCAGACACTTGAAATTATATTTATTTCTTTTATAAAACATAACTTTCTAAAGTTTTCTTTAAATGTACCATTACATAGAAGTGTACAAAGTATATATGCAATATATACATATAGTATATGCATATATTATACTATAATACATAAATGCACACCGAGTGAACATACTCCCATGTATAAGCAGCATCCATATCAAGAAAGAGAATACTACCTATACCCCAGAAACTCCATGGGGCCATTAACAATCCCTAATATAACCTTTATCCTGATTTTTAACACTTTACTTTTTACTGCTTTTTGAAATTTATGTGTGGAATTATACAGTAATTATTCTTATTTTTAGCTTTTTCTTTTTCTTATTTATTTATTTAAAAAATAATCTTTTTCACAAGATTATTTTTGTGCATTTCATCCATGCTGTTTTTTATGGTAATAATTTGTTCATTTGTGTCGCTTAATACTCCATTGGAAAAATACATTACAATTAATATTATGGTTGACAAACGTTGAGCCTGTTTCCAGTTTTTAGCTGTTTTTTAATAATGCTGCTATAAAACTTATTGCACATGTCCTTGATACATGTGCAATAATGAGCACATATGTACTCATTTCTACTGTGATCACACCTGTGGCGAAGTTGCTGGGTCCTAGGTTTTGCATGACTTCAAATTTAGTGGATACTAACTAACCTGATTTCCCAAGTAATTTTATCAGTTTCACTCCCACAAGTCAATTAAAAGTGTGTTAAATGTTTTTCACCCTTACCGACACTTGATGTTGTATGCCATTTCTGATTAGCTGTTTTGGTAAACGTGCATAAATATAAAATTGTGGTTTTACTTTGTACTTCTTTGATGACTAATGAAGTTGGGCACCTTGTCATATGTGTGCTGATCATTTGTGTATAATTTTTTTCATGAGATACCTATCCACGTATTTTGTCAGAATTTTTACTGGTTTTTCTATCTGTTAAAAATGTTCTTGTAAGAGGTATTTATGCATTCTGGACATAAATCCTTTGTCCAATATAAGTCTTCTAAACTTTTCTCCAATCTATGGCATGCCATTACATTTTCTTAGTGGGGTTTTTTGATGAACAGCAGATCTTATTATACAGTTCTTCATTTTAATGTAGTGTAGTATGTTGCATTTTTCCTATGTGGTTAGTGTTTTTGCATACTGTTGAAGAAATCCTTGCTTACCCCATGATCATGAAGCTTTATTCATGTTTCCTCCCAAAACCTTTATATTTTTTCATTTACATTTAGGTCTATAATTCATGTCAACTTAATTTTTATGCATGTTTTGAGGAATGGGTCAATATATTTTCTTCTGTAGTGATCTTCAATTGATTTGGCATCATTTTGGAAAAGCCCATCCTCTTTCCATTCCGCAGATGGGTTTTCATCATATATTTGTGAATCCTTTTCTGTATTGGTATTTTTGTTTACCTGTTCACTAATACAACACTGTCTTGGACATTAGAGCATTACAATAGTTCTCGTTGGATTTTTCCCATTATCTGTAAACTTTCTTTGGTTATTATTGGCCTTTTGAATTTCTGTACATACTTTAGAATTAGCTTGTTCATTTTATATATATATATATGTATATATATGTGTATATATATATATGTGTGTGTATATATATATATATACTTTATATTAATTCTACCATATATATTTGGATAGATTTTTGGATGGGTTTACATTGAGCTTATATTCTAATCTAAGGAGACTTGGTATTTTTAGAGCATCACTTTGTGAAAGCCCTCAAGCAAAGAGATCCAGATATTAGCAGCTGAAAGGACTGGAAGTCAGCTGGAGTTCACTGTAATGGTAAAGCCAGAGTGAAATGAATCAGGCACTGGCAGTATGGGCTAGAGTCCACACTTTTCATATTCAGATTCATACATATCCTATGTTAAGGTGATTATGTCCTGTTATTATTTCTCTAAAGCAGTGACCAATAACAATTTATAAAAAAGAGGATCTAGTGGGACAAGCTGTGTGTGGTTGTTTCTGAACCGAAAACTGTTATTCATCATCTTCCTCCTGAACTACTCCTACATTCCCCTCAACCCTCAGTCAGTACTTTGTTGGCCTGGTGGGGAGACTCAGACCTTCATCACTCAAAGGTCTGAACTCATATGGTTATTACACCCTTTTCAGGCCATGATTGCTATAAATGCCTATTTCTGACTATCATTGGATGTGGAAGCAAATAGACACCCCAGTGAATCCCTCAAGCTTCAGACATGTTTCTCTCTCCCTCCATTATGAAGTAGATTTGAAGAGCATCAGATGACTATGTAAATGTATGTGTAAAGAAAACAAGAACTGCTCAACTAGATCACTTGGAATGATAATGAGTGCAATCACTGTTATCTCCTTTTTTTTTTTTTTGGCTCCATGCCTCAATATTCTGCATACAACAGCACTATAACATGCCCAACCCCGCAAGTCATCCTTATGCTAGTGCTTCAGCTGCCACTCCAAGAAGCCATGCCAACCTTCTGTAAGTCCAGCATCTGATAGGCAGTGGACCAGTGGATTCCTTCTTGCGAAGCAACATTATGCAGTACCACACAATGATCAGTCAGACATCCTCTGAGTCCTTGGACTCACCCGGCCAAGGCTTTTTGGGTAGAAAAAGCAATCCCCCGTAACTGGAATACATATCAGTCTTAGTAAGGAGAGTTACTATCTCCTCCAGGGCAGAAAGGGTCAGATATACTCATTGCTATCAAGGAGTGGGATGGGTTTATTTTATAGGTGAGATAGGACCATACGGAGGATTCAGTGTTAATTTTTGCTGCTATTGGGGAAATTCAGTGATCAGTCTTGATGAGAGCAAATACATACTGTTAGGTTTGTCCATACTTCTATCCTGGCCACCAGACTATTCCATTCATGTACCCATTGTGAAAACACTATGACGATGAGAAGAGAAGTTGGCTAGTAGCCACAAGATGAGTCAGTTTACCCATCTGACTTCTTGGCATCTCTGCTGCAGTGGGTTTTCTTGAGTGGGTGCTGATAGGAGACACAAAGAAGTACATACTTTTCTCACACTTCCCTCTAACAATTCCTTGAGAAGAAGTCTCTTTAGGAAATGATAGTTTTGGTGCTTGACAAGGGAAATGTTATGTAATTTTAGAGCATGGAGCATTATCAAGGGAGTAGAGAATGTAGGAGACCAAAGTGGAAAGTTCCTGATGAACCAGAGAAGGGCAGAAGACTTCTTCCAAGTTTGAAGAATTCTGCACCAGGAAGTGATCGAATGTTAAAAAAAAAAAAGACATAATATTTTTACTTCTCCAACAGCTTAGCCCAGAGCTGGGCCTAGATATGAAAAAATCACAGCATACTTATCTCATATTTATCATCCTAACATCATGGTCACTTAAGTAGCATGAATGGTACACTATTTTCTGCAGTAAATCAGTACTTAAATCACTTTTTCATTTTTATGAAATATCTTTTCAAATGCATTTCCACATGTTTATATACATATATACATATATATGTATATATATATGTGTATATATATATATATATATAGTGGCACTGAGAAATATTGCAAGTTTTGGAGCCAGACAAACCAGGTTCAGATTTTATCTCATAATTTTCCATGATTATTTAAATTATCTGAGGCAATGAATACAGAGCCAGTCACAAAGCAGGGACTTGCCAAATGCTAATAGATATTATTATCAGTATTATTTATCATGCCCTGAAGAAATTTAATAGACAATTAATTAATTCCAGAATTGCCACCTTATACTCTAGACAAAAACATTGTTCAACCTTTGAAAGGGAAGTTTTATTATTTTTTTAAAGAAATAGATTAAATGTCATTATTTACATGTTTTGTACCGATATTTCCAAAGGAGGCATATTTGGCCTGAAAGTTGCCAGAAAACAAGACCGGTACATTATTTAATTTATAGTTTTCTTTCCTTTGCTCAAATGAAGTGTGTATTAGTTGCTGCTACTTCCTCAAGGGTAGTTTATTTTTCAGGCTAGCTAGACAACACTGATTTAAATTTAGGAATGGAAGTTAATGTTCTTTCCAGAGTAACACATCAATATTTTAGTCATTCATACAGGTCATGTAAAGCTGCAGTTTAAAATTCCCAATGCACTATGGCTTAGACATTTTATG
Source organism: Homo sapiens (assembly GCF_000001405.40). Taxonomy (NCBI): domain Eukaryota; kingdom Metazoa; phylum Chordata; class Mammalia; order Primates; family Hominidae; genus Homo; species Homo sapiens. Next base: position 93,758,832 of record NC_000007.14, read on the forward strand.
ACTCCAAGCATTCAGGATAGTTGACTTATTAACTAAAAGATAATGTTTAACTTCTGTGGTTCTTGCCAAAAAGATGAATTCTGACTTGTCAAATTCACCTCTGTTTTTAGGGTCTGAGAAATTATTTTTCTAAAAGCATTTTTCCCAAGATATAAGAGCCCCACCAGCCTGTCAACATAGAGATTGCATTAGCTCAACTACACACACACACACACACACATACAGCCATGCATTGCCATCATACGTACACAAACTTAAGTGGTACAACCCACTACAGACCTTGGCTATATGGTATAGCCTATTGCTCCTAGGCTGCAAACCTGTATACCATGTTACTGTACTAAATACTGTAGACAACTGTAACACAATGGTAAGTATTTGTATCTTACCATTGTAAGTATTTGTATCTTACCATCTTGTAACTTTAGTATCTTAACAGATCTAAACATAGAAAAGGTAAAAAATGGTACACCTGTATAGGCTACTTACCATGAATGGAGCTTGCAGGACCAGAAGTTGTTCTGGGTGAGTCACTGAGTGAATGATGTGAAGGCCCAGGACATGATAGCATGACACTGTAGACTTTATTAACACTATACAGTTAGTCTACACTAAATTTATAAAAAAAAAATAATTGCCCTACAAAGTCACTATGGCTACAAGGCCAATAGACAATAGGAATTTTTCAATTCCATTATAATCTTATGGAGTCACCACAGTGCATGCAGTCCACCATAAAGCAAAATTTGTTATGTGATGCATGACATATATATATATATACACGCATGCATACATACACACACATATACATATATATGTACAAATAAAAGCAGTAACAATTGTTCTTTGTGTACTCCATTTGACTGTAATGCTTTTAAAACCAAAAAACATAATATATTATACAGTTAAGTCACAAAATATTAGTTAAATATTTTTGCTCAAGGTTCAGTTGCAGAGACTGGAATGCTCTTGAATGAATTTGAGCAGAGATAGATTTATTACAGCATATTTAAAGACTTACAAAATCATTGCAGTTGCTGATGAAATAGTCTTAGTGTAAATCAATACTTCAGGCCAATTCTCCTCCTATGAATTGTGGACAAGCAGAACAACTAAAATGATTTATTTCATTGCTGTCATTCAAGCCAACACTGAAGAACTCTGTTATGTGAAAGCCATCAGGTTTTGGCTGATGCCAGAATATCATGCAGAGAAAACCCCCTGTATGGTAAACACACCTCAATGCAGTTCAGAGTTCTGAACTAAGGAATCTGGGAGGGGCTGACCTGGAAATTCATTATTCATCTATGAAGAACATCTGAGTCCCCTAACCCCCATCCTTTGTCTGATCCTCTCAGATACACGGGTTCAAGGTCCTTTGTTATGGGTTGAAGTTTTCCAGGTGGAAACTGCTAATGGTAGGATGATAAGTGAAAATGATGTATAAACTGCATGCTTTTTGCAAGCTGTGTGGTTCTCCTGTCCAGCCCACCGCCAGTGGACTCCTCCCCTCTATGTAATCCCCCAGTAAAACGCCATGCCTTGTTTGCTGGTTCTGGGTCTCTTCCTCGGCTTCTTAAACCTGATGCCATCCCCACTGGAGTCAATAGGGGCTCAGCATGACACCCCACTTCTACCTCTGTTAACTATAAGACAGACCACATTGTTTTCCTCACTGGATAACTGGTCATAGGGAACTTTCTATAAAGCCGTAGGTGTGGATAAGTTCAAGACAAATAAGCAATAGGAACAGGGACCTTGAGAACCCTGTTAATGCAAATTTTTATCCCTTCTGAAATGCTAGAGCCCATATCATATGTGCAATGTGTCCAGTGAAGAATGGCATGCTTCCCATTCTTATTTCAACTGATCAAATGATACTCAATTTATGATAGGGCCAGGGTGGCTCATGCCTGTAATCCAAGTACTTTGGGAGGTCGAGGCAGATGGATCACTTGAGGTCAGGAGTTTGACCAGCCTGGGCACTATGACGAAACCCCGTCCCTACTAAAAATACAAAAATTAGCCGGGTGTGGTGGCATGCACCTATAATTCCAGCTACTTTGGAGGCTGAGGCAGGGTGATCGCTTAAACCTGGGAGACAAAATTCACAGTGATCTGAGACCGCACCACTACACTCCAGGCTGGGTGACAGAGTGAGACTCTGTCTCAAAAAACATAAAAAAATAAAAATAGAAATAAAAATTTATGATGAGCAGTTTGGGTAGTGTAGTCCTTTTGTATTCCTGGGTTCAATATTTGCTATTTACTGACGTTCAGAGGTAGGCCAGGAGCTGAATTTTCAAACTGAGACTAGTCCTGAGCAGAGGAAGGAATGGTCTTACTACAAACCTTAGAGGTAATTCTATACTGTGGTTGTTCTTTGGGACTGGCAAAAGCTACTATATGAAATATTGATGTGTTGCACATTCATTACCACTGAATCTGCTTGGATATAAGCTCAAGTGGTAGTACAGCTTATGTCATATTGTGCAGAGCTTCTCTTGCTTTGAATCAAACTTAAATCTTGCAATCTTGTGGGTTCCCTTTAAATGAGTGGAATAGTAAACTACGGAATAATACATGTTGCATCCAAATTTCAAAGTCTGATAAATACTGTGATTCTTTACACAGTGTAATGTGCTGCAACTTTTCTCTAATTCTAGAGGAGACACCTGAGATGCCTCAGACTAAAGGACTCCTAGGTATTTTCTGATATGGTAAAAATTTCATAGGATTTATTGTATGTCCTCTCTTATGCTTGTGTTTTAAGGCATTTATGGCTCCTCTTATTTTATGCTCACTTGGTCTAACAAACACATGACATCAACATAATGGGTGGTATAATATTCTGTAAGATATCCAAATGATCTGGACAATATAATATTAGAGAACAAGAGAGCTGACATCACTCTGAGGTAGGACAATGAAAGTATGCTGCTCTTCCTGCTATATTGGCATTCTTTTGATTATTTTTAATTATTGGGATAAGACAAAAAAGCATTTTCTAAGTCAGTATCTACATAAGAACTGCTGGCCGGGCACAGTGGCTCATGCCTATAATCCCAGCACTTTGGGAGGCTGAGGCCGGTGGATCACCTGAGGTCAGGAGTTCAAGACCAGCCTGTCCAATATGGTGAAACCCCATCTCTACTAAAAATACAAAAATTAGCTTGGCGTGTTGGCATGCACCTGTAGTCCTAGCTACTCGGGAGACTGAGACAGGAGAATTGTTTGAACCCAGGAGGCAGAGGTTGCAGTGAGCCGAGATCGTGCCACTGCACTCCAGCTGGAGTGACAGAGCAAGACTCCATCTAAAACAAAAAAAAACAAAAAAAAAGTGCCAAGGGCTTGTCAGTTTGCTATTGGAAATATAGTTGAATACTCCAAGGTACATAGAATTGCTTTTGATTTCTGTGTGTGGTATCTTTCTATCAAATCAGTCTTTCATCTGACCATCATATGCCCCAACATTAATCGAAGGATTACATTTGTGTTTTGGATTTGTGTTAGTTGAGAGTTAGTGTCTAACTGTCCTCAGAAATTCTAGGTATTTCTCTTTTCTTAGTACAGTCACATTGGAAAAATATCTGCAGGTCACCTGGGTAAGGTTCGGAGTTTATATTGCGGAGTACCTCTCCGCACAGTTTATATTGTGGAGTACCTCTCATTCAAGGAGTTTCAGGACTAGCAACTGGCTTATGTCTGTGAATTAAGTAGGAGGCTATAAATTTGGGTTTCTTCCCACTAGATCTGGAATTTTTCAGCTTATTGTGTTGTTCAACAACTGCCCACTTATTTTATCCCTAGGGACTATACGATTAATTAGACTTCATCACAAATTTGTGTGGGTCTAAAACACCTTGATTATCATTCAGTCTTGGGCTAATTAAGGAAATTGTACTCAACTGTCTCTTAAACACTGTCACCAGATCCCTTCCACTTATGGAACTTATCTATAGAGCACAACTATTGCAGTGTTTTTCAAAGTGAATGCTTCCCTCAACAATGAATCTCTTAATTTCTTAATGAAAGATGTGTCTTTTAGATCCTCCCAGGAGCCATAGTTAGGGGCTGATCATTAGATTGCACACAGTAGATCTACCCCACCGTTTCCATTTTCCAGACCTTACAAACCCCTTTCATTACATCAGGACTCAGCAAACGTTTTCTATAAAGGGCCAGATAGTGATTATTTTAGGCTTTGTGAGCCAGTCAGTCTCCGTCACAGTTGTTCAACTCACTATTGTAGTGTTGCCATAGGCAGTGCTATAAAAGCAGCCATAGACAATTGGCGTGGCTTTCAATAACACTATTCACAACAGGTAGTATGTTGGATCTGGCCTGTGGACCATAGTTTGCCAACTCCTGCTCTACACTGCATCAAGGAAGTTCTAGCATTTCAACCTCACCAAATGTAGGCTATTGGAAAGCTTAATCCTCCATTAATCAAACTAGCATATATAATACTTCAAGGTACTCAAGGCAAAACATTAAGTCTCATGTCAACAAATCGGGCCTAGTCTACCTACAATCTGTTCTAATATTTCAAGAATTTGTTCTATTCTCATACATGTTTCTTCACTGCTAACATAAATTGAAAAAAAAAAAACAAACAAACACCTATCATGTCTTTTGTGTGTAAGCTATAATGTGCTTAAGCATGCCTTCCACTTCTTTGGTCCGTAATGAGAACTCGGTCTTATTTGGGACCTAGACAAAATAAGAATGTCTAGGAGTCATGTAGAGATTTGGCATTCCTTTATGAGGCAACATTCCTAGGGCAATATCATTGGATGTTTTTCATGCAATTGAATGTTTCTTCCATTGGAGAACAGGAAAGCCTGCTTCTACTTTGAAAGAAAGTTCCTGGGGACTTAGGACTTCAAAGTTCTCAGGTGCACCCATTTACCCTAGGTTTTCCCAATCCATGTCTCAGGGTTCCAGTCTTTTATAACCAACGCTTTACCTTGGCATCAGAGATCTCAGGTAATTATGCCTAAATTAATAGATTTGCCTCAAATTATCTTCTTTATTGACAATCATGATTCTAGGAAGTGGTCAATATAAATGAGCAAAGCTTTGCAATTCAATTCATTTGCAAGGAGACCTTGTAAATGTTTCACTTGAGGTAGTTACTACATAAATTGATACAAAATTTCTCATGCTCTCAAAGGAGCATACCTCAAAATAATAAGAACCATTTGTGACAAATCGACAGCCAACATCGTACTGAACAGGCAAAAGCTGGAACCATTCTCCTTGAGAACTGGAACCAGGCAATGATGCCCAGTCTCACCATTCTTATTCAACACAGTACTGGAAATCCTAGCCAGAAAAATTGGGCAAGAGAAAGAAATAAAAGACATCAAGCTATCTTTCTTCACTGACAATGTGATTCAATACACCTACAAAGTTCTAAAGATCCTGCCAAAGGGCTCCTGAACTGAAAAACGACTTCAGTAAAGTTTCAGGATATAAAATCAATGTACAAAAATCAGTAGCATTTCTTTACACCAATAACATTCTAGCTGAGAACCAAATCAAGAACACAATTCCATTTACAATAGCCAAAAAACAATGAAATACCTAGGAATACATCTAACCAGGGAAGTGAAAGATCTCTATAAGGAGAACTGCAAAACACTGCTAAAAGAAATCTGAGATGACATAAATAAATAGAAGAACATTCCATGCTCATGAATTGGAAGAATCAATGTTGTTAAAATGCCCAAAGTAATTTACAGATTCAACACTATTCCTATCAAACCACCAATGTCACTTTTCACAGAACTAGAAAAACTATTTTAAAATTTGCATGGAACAAAGAGCCTAAATAGCCAAAGCAATTCTAAGGAAAAAGAACAAAGTTAGAGGCATCACATTATCTGACTTCAAACTATACTACTAGGCCATGGTAACAAAAGCAGCCTGATACTAGCACAAAAACAGACCAATACACTAATGGAAATGAATATGAAACACAGAAATAAAGCTACACACCTACAACCATTGGATCTTTGACAAAGTCAACAAAAATAAGCAATGGGGAAAGGGCTCTTTATTTAATAAATAGTGCTAGTATAACTGGCAATATGCAGAAGAATAAAACAGGAACCCAGCCTATCACGATATACAAAAGTTAATTTGGCTGGGTATGGTGGCTCACACCTGTAATCCCAGCACTTTGGGAGGCAGAGGTGGGCAGATCACTTGAGGTCAGAAGTTCCAGATAGCCTGGCCAATATGGTGAAACCCCATGTCTACTAAAATATACAAAAATTAGCTGGGGGTGGTGGTGGGCACCTGTAATCCCAGCTACTCAGGAGGCTGGAGCAGGAGAATGGCTTGAACCCAGAAGGTGAAAGTGGCATTGAGTCAAGATTGCACCACTGCACTCCAGCCTGGGTGACAGAGAGGCTTCGTCAATAAATAAATAAATAAATAAATGTTAACTCAAGATGGGTTAAAGATTTACATGTAAGATCCCAAACCATAAATACACTAGAAGAAAACCTAGGAAATACCCTTGTTGATATTGGCCTTGGCAAAAAAATTATGGCCAAATCCTCAAAAGCAATTGTAACACAAACAAAAAATTGACAAGTGGGACTACTTAAAGACCTTCTGCACAGCAAAAGAAACCATCAACATAGTAAACACACAACTTGAGAATGGGAGAAAGTATTTACAAACTATGCATCTGATAAAGGTCTAATATCCAGAATCCGTAAAAAACTAAAATCGACAAGCAAAAAACAACCCCATTAAAAACTGGGCAAAGTACATTAAAAGACACTTCTCAAAAGGAAACATACAAGTAGTTAACAAACATATGATGATGACATCACTCCTCATCAGAGAAATGCAAATCAAAACCACAATGAGGTATCATCTCACACCAGTCAGAATGGCTATTACTAAAAAGGTCAAAAAACAACAGATGCTGGTGAGGCTGTGGAGAAGAGGGAATGCTTATACACTGTTGGTGAGAATATAAAGTAGTTCAGCCACAGTGGAAAGCAGTTTGGAGATTTTTCAAAGAATTTTAAACAGAACTATCATTTAACCCAGCAATCCCATTACTGGGTATATGCCCAAAGGAAAATACATTCTTCTACCAAAAGGAAACATGCACTCATATGTTTATCTCAGGACTATTCCCAATAGCAAAGACATAGAATCAATCTAGGTGCCCACCAATTGTGGATTTGATTTTTAAAAATGTGGTACATTTACACTATGGAATACTGTACAGCCATAAAAAAAGAATAAAATCATGCCCTTTGCGGCAATATGGATGCAGCTAGAGGCCATCAACCTAAGTGAATTAACACAAAAGCAAAAAACCAAATACCACATGTTCTCATTTATAAGTGGAAGCTAAATGCTGGGGACACATGGACATAAATATGGCAACAATAGACACTGGAGACTACAAGAGAGGGGAGGGAAGGAGGGGGACAAGAGGTGAAAAACTACCTATTGGGTACTATACTCAGTACCTGGGTGGTGGGTTCAATTGTACACCAAACCTCAGCATCACACAGTATACCCTTGTTGTAAACCTGCACATGTACCCCTTGAATCTAAAATAAAAGTTTTTTTTAAATTATGTTTTTATATTAAAAATTACAAAGTACACACACCAAAAAAGGAGCTTTCAGCATGCGTTGCTAATGCTTAGCTTGTCCCCACAAAATTTGAGATTCACGCTTTAAAACGGTAGTGATTATTGAGTTCTCTTTGGAGTCTCTGTGGCATATAACATTTGTATGTGGAAGAAAAGCAAAGCACCAGTTGAGTGCTTCATGATAAGAAAATCAATTAATAGCAGAAACAAAACAATAAAACACTAATATTTCAAGGAATATTTAAGACAGATGGCTTCTTACTTTTGACTACATTAAACCTTATTCTGGGGATTTTCTTTCTAGCAAATTAGTTCTGAATCTTCCCACCTCTCCTGGGAACCTTATAGAATGATAAAGAGAACAGTAATAGATAGCATCAGATATTATGTTTCCTTTCCATTATTTAGAGTTGTTCCTATGAACCTGCTCTCCATCCTGTACAGTCTGGAGAGCCCTCAGCTTTACATTTAGGTGGAACCATATAAATAATTCTCACCTGAAAATATGAGCAATAGTGAGTGTGTGTCAATTCAGGGTTCAGGGGCTTAAGAAAGTGACTATATCTACCTTGCATTTTCTTCCTCTTCTAGCTGAATATGGAGGACTCTGAGGCCCAGCCTGGTAGAACAACAATGTAGAAAAAGCACAGATGCCCTAAATCATCAAGCGGATGAAGGATGCCAATCAAGAACTCTCACACTGGGGTTTTTCATGAGCAAGAAACAAACTTTCCTATTTTTCAGTCTCTTTAATTTTTTCCTTAGAACAGCTAGTATTATCCTAAATAATGCTAGCAGAGCAATACAAATCTCACATAAAAACTACCTTTTGCATACAAGTCCACATGCTACTTCCTAGTCTCACTGTTTGAAGTATATTTACCTACCTTATGTGGTTCGTCGGCCCATTGTGCTATAAACTTGATTGATCAACATGCTACTCTCAGATTGTAATTAATTAACAAATCCACACAAAAAGTTGTAAAGGTGACATGGGGATGAATACGGAAGGGAGAGGAGGACTTGAGGCCTGCAGGTCTCAAAAATCTCTAGCTAATATTCGAGAAAAAGAAAAATAAAGTTTACGCTGAGACTTGATGTTCTTGACTGAATAGGGCAGGATCTGGGAACACTGAAGAGAGAGGCATAGAAAATTTTAGGGAAGTACAGAGGTGGCAGATTTTAGAAAATGTTAGCAAACATTAACATCTAAATATGGGTACACCAGGCTGGAAGATGATGTTTGCAAAGAGGTCTGTAAAACAGGCCAAGAGGTAGAAACCTTCCCAAAGCTAGCTGAGATGTAAGGATCAGAGTAAAAGCAACCATGCAGAAAAGCCATATTTTGAGATGTGCATGGAAACAACAGATAAAGACATTTTTGAGCCATGAAGTTTGAAAAAGAGCCTTGGATATTCCTGTCCTCACTTTCAAAAAAACTCTTGCTACTAGTGCAGAAGAATCTATCTGAATATGTATATTAGAAAATAAATTTGTTCATCCTCCACTTAAAGACACCACGAGATGTAAGATGAACGTCAATACAACATTCTGGCAGATAACAAAAACTTATCAGAAATGTTGTCAACACTAAGTTATATCCTATTAAAGTTATTGGAATGTAATAATATATAAAGTATTCTTTGGACATCCAGACAAAAATTCTGAGTCACTTTTAAGCAAAAGAAAATTTCATGTAAGTTTTTTGTAATAACAAAGTCTACACCAGAAAAGAGATATTCAAGATACTTAAGGGGAAAAAATGTGGACCAAAGATATTTTATGCACTCAAGCTGTCTAGTCTAAAGGCTACAGATAATTTTGAATATTAAGACAATTAGGGAACATTGTATTGATGAGCCTTTCTGAAAAATTTAGTACAGAACAATTTTCATTCATCTAGTGAGTGATAGGAAAAACTCATTAAAGAGGTGGCTATAAATGATGAATATATTTAATAGTAAAATTTTCACTAAAAATACTGCGATAAAAGTAGCAGAATGATTTGTAAATGGTGAATAATCTGAAAATACAGAAATGGCAACTAATGAAATTGACATGATAAGGGAAGAAAAGATGTAGTGTTTCAAGTCAAAGTATATTGTTTAAAGCTGACAAATTAAGTAGTAGAAGCTCAACCATATAAGGGTACAAAGGTAGACACAAAGAAAGATAATGTTGTTAAGATTGGAAAGTAGAAGAGACACAGAAAAGAGGCTAAAAAGATGGGGAAAAGACAGTCTCTTCAATAAATGGTGCTTGGAAAACTGGATATCCATATGCAAAAAAATAAAACTTGACCCCTCTCTCTCACCATATACAAAAATCAAATCAAAATGGATCAAAGACTTAAGTCTAAGACCTCAAACTATGAAACTACTACAAGAAAACATTGGAGAAAATTGCCAGGACATTGGTCTGGGCAAAGACTTCTTGAGCAATATTCTACAAGCACAGGCAACCAAAACAAACATAGACAAATGGTATATTGGTTCGTTTTCATACTGCTGATAAAGACATACCCAAAACTGGGGAAAAAAATAGAGGTTTAATTGGACTTACAGCTCCACAGGGTTTGGGAGGCCTCAGAATCACGGTGGGAGGCGAAAGGCACTTCTTACATGGCGGTGGCAAGAGAAAAATGAGGAAGACGCAAAAGCAGAAACCCCTGATAAACTCATCAAATCTTGTGAGACTCATTTACTATCACAAGAATAGCATGGGAAAGACTGGCCCCCATGATTCAATTACCTGGTTCCCTCCCACAACATGTGGGAATTCTGGGAGACAGAGCTCAAGTTGAGATTTTGGTGGGGACATAGACAAACCATATCAAATGGGATCACATCAAGTTAAAAAGCTTCTGCACAGCAAAGGATACAATCAACAAAGTGAAGAGACAACCCACAGAATGGGAGAAAATATTTGTAAACTACCTATCTGACAAGGGATTAGTATCCAGAATATGTAAGGAGCTCAAACACTCTGTAGGGAAAAAAATCTAATAATCCTATCTTAAATGGGCAGATGATTTGAATAGACATTTCTTAAAAGAAGACATACAAGTGACAAACAGGCATATGAAAAGTACTCAACATCACTGATCATCAGAGAAATGCAAATCAAAACACAATGAGATATCATCTCACTCCAGTTAAAATGGCTTATATCCAAAACATAGGCAATAACAAACGCTGGAAATGGTGTGGAGAAAAGGGAAACCTTATACACTGCTGCTGCAAATGTAAATTAATACAACCAATATGTAGAACAGTTTAGAGTTTCCTCAAAAAACTAAAAATTGAACTACCATGTGATTCAGCAATCCCACTGCTGGGTATATACACAGAAGAAAGGAAATAAGTATATTGAAGAGATGTCTGCACGCCTATGTTTGTTGAAGCACTGTTTACAATAGCAACCTAAGTGTCCATCAACAAATGAATGATTAAAGAAAATGTGGTACATATAGACAATGGGGTATTACTCAGCTATGAAATAGAATGAGATCTTGTCATTTGCAACCACATGGATAGAATTGGAGATCATTACATTAAGTGAAATAAGCCAGGCACAGGGCAAACATCACATGTTCTCACTTATTTGTGAGATCAAAAAATCAAATCAATTGAACTCATTGACATAGAGAGTAGAAGAATGGTTACCAGAGGCTGGGAAGGGTAGATAGAGACTTACGGGAAGGTGGGAATGGTTAATGGGTATTAAAAAATAGAAAAAATAAATATGACCTACTATTTGATAGCACAACAGGATGTCTGTAGTCAATAATAACTTAATTGTATATTTTAAAGTCAATATAATTGGATTATTTGCAATTCAAAGGATAAATGCTTGAGAGGATGAATACCCCATTCTCCATGACGTGCTTATTTCACATTGCATCCCTGTATCAAAACACCTCATGTAGCCCATAAATACATACACCTACAATGTACCCACAAAAAAAAATTTAAATAATTTTAAAAATTTAAAACGTGGTAAAAAGAAACTACATGCTATATAGTATTATACTTCATATCAAAGTAAAAGTATCAGGTTAAGCCCTGCTATATAAATGCAAACTAATTATCAGAAAAGCCACAAAAAAAGAAAGAAAATAGTAAAAATGGTACATAAAACATGAGATAAAATGAAGAACAGAAACCAACTTACTGTCATACCAGTAAACATTATTAGGCTTAATTCACTCAGAAGAAAACTATTTTAAACTTTTTTTCAATGCAAGTACTAAGTAAAAAACAACAGGACACTTTACAATGCTGAAGTTTACTATTCATAAATATGATACAGAAATTTTGGATGCCTATATTTCAAATAGCACAGAATAACCATAATAAAGCAGAAATATCAATACACTAAGCATAGATGATTTTAACACATATTTCTCAGTCTATAGAGAAATAAAGTGGCTATAAAATAAGTTAGAATGTGAAAGACATAAACAATTTTAGTAATATTTATCTTACTTCAAACTTTGTTGCACCCAAATAGGGAATGACACTCCTTTTCAAGCACACATAAAATATCCACAAAGTCAACCATACATACGATTATCAGAGGCTAGGCACAACGGTTGGGGAAAATAATAGGTAATCAAGAAACTTAAAAGGAAATTGTGTAAAATGAAATGACTATAAAGTGCTTAGAAAAGGTCCTACATATTCCTGGGAATCTAGAAGTTCATGCACATGCATAGAGATGTATCTATAATGTTCAGGACTGTTCAAATGCTTAGTAAAGTACTGAGAAGGTCCTCATTTTATTTTGGCCTAATTTTGATATTCTGTGCAAAGAAATGAAGCCTAAGACAAAGTTGTCAACTGCCTGGATGAGTGTTAAAAATGTGTTTGAATGCACACACACACTCAGGCACAGACACTCTCAGAAAACTCTGGGAGACTTATTTGTTGAAGGCATTTAAGAAAGTTTGTGTTCAGTCATTAGGCGAGATAACCAAGTAGAGATTTTAGTGGCCACACATGACAAAGAATACAGACTTTTAAAAAATTATTTCAGAAATGTTGTTATATAACAACAATAATAACTAATATCAACAACAATAAACCATGAGGAGCAGGGAGAATCTGTGTTCCAGAGTTGCCATATTATTTTAAATATTCTTGTTTCAACAAAAATTATGAAACATGAAAAGTAACAAAACAACAAAGTTCTATGCACAAGAAAAGAGAAAAACAGTCAATGAAAACGATCTCTTAGAAAGTCTGGGTGTTGGACTTACTAGACAAAGATTTTAAATCAGCTATTTAAATTATATTCAGAAAACTAAAGGAAACTGTAAGAAGAACTAAAGGAAATAAGAATATTATTACACCAAATAGATGATATTGATAAAGAGGAAAAAATAAAAGAACCAAAATAACTCTATAGTTGAAAAATAAAATAACCGAATTGAAAAACTCACCAGAGAAGTTCAACAGTGGATCTGAGCAGCAGAAGAAAGTACACGTGCATATAATGATTGATCAATTGAAATTATTCATTCTGAGAAAAAGGAGGAAAAAAAGAATAAAGAAAAATAGTGTTTTTAGAGACTTGAGATTCTGGGCAATAAGGGATGGAGAAAGGTTGATGAATCCATGTGAGAAAGACTTTTGAAATGATAGGCTTTGTGTCTGTGATCCAAAGTGTAATACACATTTGGGAAGGAGATCATTTCCTTGCCAGCTTCTGCTGAGAGCCCAGTCACACTTGGCATATACACTGGAATCTCAGTGATGAGCCATGTGGTGGCTACCCTTCTCAAATTGGCCTCACCTGCAGCAAGAGGGAGCTGGAGTGGGAGAGGGAGGGGTGGGTGCTGACAGATTGGTTTGTAAAACACACCCTTAGGGGAACTATCAGAAATTGTTAAATTTTATTTTGGAGTCAGGGGTAAATTTGGATTGTGTTTCTGGACATCAGCTTGATATGACTTCATCGCACTGTAATGAACTTAAGACTTACTTACTTTGCTTCATTGCCACAGACTAGTATGGCCTATAGCATTTGGCTTACATTTAGAAAGAATAAATTATTTTACAAAAACTACTTCCCTCCAACACCGAGTACACATCAATACTGACATTACAAGTGAAAAAATCCTTGTCTAGTCTTTACTATTTTCATGTATGGCAAGTGATTAATAGACTAAGAAGGAAATATAAGTATTTCATGTTTCACAGGTGTCTTCTGCTTTATGAATAAAAGTAATTCTTCTAGGAAACATAAATGTAAGACTGGCTTCTTTTTAAATCAGTATTCTGTATCTCGTCTCTTTGTTTTTGTCCCTTCAACTTTTATTTTAAGTTCCAGGGTACATGTGCAGGGTGTGCAGGTTTGTTACATAGGTAAACATGTGCCATGGTGGTTTACTGCACCTATCAACCCATCACCTAGGTATTAAGCCCAGCATCCATTAGCTATTCTTCCTGAAGCTCTCCCTCCAACTGCCCACCCCTACAGGTCCCAGTGTGTGTTGTTTCCTGCCATATGTCTGCGTGTTCTCATCATTCAGCTTCCACTTATAAGTGATTTTCTGCTCCTGTCTTAGTTTGCTGAAGTTAACGGCTTACAGTTCCGTCCACCTCCTTGCAAAGGACATGATCTCATTCTTTTTTATGACTGCATAGCATTCTATGGTGTATATGTACCACATTTTTCTTATCCAGTCTATCATTGATGGGCATTTGGGTAGATTCCAAGTCTTTGCTATTGTGAATAGTGCTGCAATGAACACATGCATGCCATATGCAGAAAACTGAAACTGGACCCCTTCCTTACACCTTATACAAATTAACTCAAGATTGATTAAAGACTTCAATGTAAAACCCAAAACTATAAAAACCCTAGAAGAAAATCTAGGCAATACCATTCAGGACGTAGGCACAGGCAAAGATTTCATGATGAAAATGCCTAAAGCAATTGCAACAAAAGCCAAAATTGACAAATGGGATATAACTAAAGAGCTTCTGCACAGCAAAAGAAACCATCATCAGAGTGAACAGATAATCTACAGAATGGGAGAAATTTTTTGCAATCTATCCATCTGACAAAGGTCTAATATCCAGTCTGCAAGGAACTTAAACAAATGTACAAGAGTAAAACAAACAACCCCATTTAAAAGTGGGCAAAGGACTTGGACAGACACTTCTCAAAAGAAGACATTCATTTGGCCAACAAACGACCCACTATATCAAGTTACCAAGGCTGATTGTGTGCCTAGATGCTTTATAGCACACATCATTGTTTTGAAATTTCTCTCAAAGGAGTAGATTATAATAATATCAATAACAACAGCAAGCAAACAATAATACTTAACATTAATTGAGCATGAACTATGTGACAATAATAAGCTAAGCACTTTTCCTGAATATTCTTATTTAATCTTAATAGCAGTCTCATAAGGTAGATGCTGTTATTGTTCTCATTTCATAAATGTCTTATCCTGGTTACTTAGAAAACATAATGGTGCCAAGTGCTTATGTACTTACACTTTTGGAAGAGTTCAAACAGGAAAGCAGTAATCAGTGAAAAGAATAAGGAAGGGAATAAAGTAGGCTCAATATGAGGGAGTATGTTATTGATCTGGCCACAGTTTCATGACAAACAACCTTTGAGAGGCTCTATGAAGGCTCTCATCTTCAGAGAGGCTCTATGAAACTGCTGCATCTCCAAACAGTACCAAAAGGGAGAAAGCGAAAAATTATCCACCTGATCCTTTCTCCAATTGATCAAAGTTTACCTCTATGAAGTATTAACTCCACCACATGTCTGGATTTTGCATATTTGTGCACCAAGTGGATCTTATGATATCTCATATATAAGTATTTACAGGAAATCCCCACTGGGAAAGCAAGAGGCATTCAGCATTGGTATAAGGTGAGGCATTCTGCATGCCCAGGAATAAAGTTCCCTCCTCTTCAAATGCACACTAGGGATAGATATACTTAGCTACTGCTCAAACTTCACACAGATTTACTGAAATGTGGTTTGAGGACCACTGTGGAAGTAAGGACCAAGTAAGGGACCCTAAAATTTTCTCCCTGCCAGTCAGTATAGCAAATCAAAAGCAATACTAGAGTTACTTCCACTATTAAAGAATTAAAAGATGCAGGGTAATATTCCCTACTATATTCCCATTCAACTTACCTGAGTAACCCCTGTCGAAAAATGTGGATTGTAATAAATGATAGTGGAGTATAGTAACCAGGTAGACAGATACCTTGCATATTTACTAAAGATAATCAACATAGCCTCTGATACATGCTCTCAAGTTGTTAATATATTCCTCATTATTCATATCCATAGGACAGATCAAAAGCAGTTCACTTCCATGATATTTCTTCTTCATGTTAGATTTCCTGTTAACTATCTTGCTAACAGTGAATCACGTGAGCTAATCTGGTGTATTAAGGCTTATAGATGTTGGTTATTCTGTATACCTTTGAATATTCATGATAAAGGCAGAGATTCCAGCCAGTGCACTAACATCTCTCAGTTACCCCATTCTCCACTGAAGGTTAGGAATGTGAAAAAAGACTGAATCACATTTTCCTTCATCTGGTTTCAGCATTTTTACCCACTACCTTCAGCAGAAGGGGCTAAGTGGGTTGAGCAAAATGACTTGAACAACATGGGATTGCTCCCAGACCCCAATGCACCAGGGGAAGAGATGTCTATCCAATTCACATTGGGATCCTGAGCAAGTATAGGTCTTGAGGTTGGGGAATCTTCCCACCATTCTGTTCCCACATCTCACAGAGTTCATGTGTGGGCCATTTCTCTCCCTTCTCCTCCTCCTACCCCACACCAAGGGTTAAGATATCCTTCTTATATCTCCAATGTGCTTCTTCACAAAAATCTTATTCTTGCTATCTAGGAGAATGTGGTGTCATAATAGTTAAGAAAATATGTTTTTCATGGAGGGAATAGTGAGGAAGCCAAATATTTTTAGGAGATTAAATAAGATAAAAGCAGAAATTTGTTCTTAATATTTAATCACAAAGTCTATAGTTAGTAGTATTCTCAGTAAGCAGTTTCAGGGACATTTTAGAAAGAGAGGATATACTGGAGTGAGTTGAGGAGTAAATAAGAGGTGAAGAAATAAGTTCTGCTTTGAAGTAGAGGAACATGTTTGAAAAGTGAATATGGGGTCAAGGAAGTATTTTATTTATATTCAAAATAATTTTACACTTTTAAATATTTATGTAATGATAAAAACAGAGGAGATGGCAAATGCACGAGATACTAGAGACTATCAATACAGAGAGTTATTTATCTACTTCAAATTATTCTCTCAGACTCAGGGAGCAGCAATGGATTTCTAGAAGTGGAACTAGGGTTTTCTGACATTTAAGAAGTTGTCCTTTCAAACACATTATTTGAGATGTATCAACTCATAAAAGAAATATCTTTTCAGTCCTGCAAACTTGTAGAAGGTATTTTTGAAGTTTTCTACCCAAAGCAGATACTGCAGTTGGACCATTCACACAGGGGTGTGCTCTCAGTAGCTCAGCTTTTCCTGAAATGCCCTTTCTCTCTGCCATAGGTAACTGGTTCTGGACTAATAAGATTTGGAATTGGGATTCAAAACAGTACTGTGCAGGTTGGCCTTTGAACAGAAGAAATGTAACTTAGGAGGTGTGGGAGAGAAATCTGATCTGCAAATAGAAAAGAAACAGATTCGGGGGTGGAGGCTGATTTCAGGTGATTATGAAAGGGCATGGACTCATTTCTTTTTCTCCTCATTGTGTTCCTGGCATCTGGTGCTCTACTTAGAATATAGTAAATACCAATTAAATATTTCTTGAATGAATGAGTGAAACTGAATGAATGAATGCTCAGGTTTATGTACTAGTAAATAAATGTGGTGTCATATATTATTGATCGTTACCCATTTCCTTGAACGTGTTGGTTATGCAAAGCTTCAAATACTGATTTAAGTTTATCAGAGGTGGAAAGTCTCCAATGTTAAATATTTAGGGGATATATATATATTTATAGGATATATATTTATGAATTTTCTTAATTTAAATAGATTAATCAGGTTATTTCCTGATTATTTCATTTTCAATCTCATTTTAATTGATGTAGGCAAAATCTAAGACTACTTTGATTTTATTTTGGGGGAAATGTATTACTATAAGAATCCCATAAAATTCACCTAGTTTTGTTTTCCAATTAAAGTTTTTTTTCTTCTTTGGCATCATGAAAATTATGTAGAGAATATTTTTGCTCATTGAAATATAAGGACTTCAGACCAGTCTGCTTGTAGATTTTTTCAAAATCATTTTAATTCAAACTACTCTGATGCAACACATCTATTTCTGTCTAAAACCTTTAAAAAATTAGACTTGAAAGATGCTGATCAGAGACAGTTTGACTGGTCTGATGAGATACTCTTCCATAACCACTAGGAGAAATAGGCAATATTGAAGGTTAAATTCTGTTACTAAGCAACCCAGAAATATCCAGTACACTTAAAGACTTTCCTCCACTCAAAAAAAGTTGTAGAGAACTATATTAGTTTAACAATCAAATGCCATTTCTTTGAAAGAGAGCTTATCTGAGAAGGACAATTCCTTCTATAGACATCCAGCCATGGTTGAAGTTATGTGTCTGTAGTGTTTGTATCATCTCTATGCACATATGGCCACAGTACAAACAATTCCTTTTTATTTAATTATTTTTGAATCAAAGATTCATTAATTCAACCTATTAACAGAACCCATACTTATCCATATGCCATGTCAGACACACAAATAAAGAGATAAATGAGAAAATCTCAGGAAGGTTAACCCACAGGGAGCTCACATTCTAAAGTTGGAGATAAGAAGGTAAACAAAGCATTTCAAAGATAATAAAACAGGCAGAACACAAATATATACAGGATATAATGGGAATACTCAGGAAGAAGTAATTTACTTTTCTGGTGGACTTGATGTTTGAGCTGAGTTTTGAAATAATAACAAAAAATTCAGGCAGGAAAGGAGATACAGACATTCCAGGCAGAGGAAGCTGTGTATGTGGAAAGTCACAGCTCTATGACACAACATGATATATTTGGAAAACCATAGACAGTTTAGTATAATCTAGCATAAAGTTTAGAGGAGGAAGAAGGAAAGATAAGACTGGATACGTAGACAGACTCCCAATAATGAGGACCTTGTGTTTCAGAAACTCTTCTGTGTTTTGTGTGGCCCTAGGGTATTTTATCTTTGGAGTTAGGGGGTCTGTGAGGGTTTCAATAGGAAAGAGACGTAACTATATTTTTTTTATTAAACATTTTACTGGGCGACGTAGTGAATGAGCTGGTTGTCTCCAGAATGAATTTCTCTGGCGGCCTTCACGGGCACTATGTCTGCGACTGAGATCTTCGTAGAGCTGCAGGGCTTTTGTCTGCCTAGGAGGACATCAGCGAGGAAATCCAAAAAGTTGTAGAGTTTACAACAAACAGCTTAAGAGATTGTTAACTCTACCACAACGTGTCCGTCAGGGTGCTGGGTTTCAGGGCATTCCAAAGAGGTGTTTGAAAGCTTAGGAACATTTTGGTACAGTAAAAACACACCCAACACCTCTGAAGAGCAAGTTGCCTGCTGAACCGTGTGCCACGAGGTTCATGAGCACTGGAGGTTTGTGTTGCCGCATACGGTTGTCTTCCCAGAACTTGTTGCGTGTTTGGAAACAGAAACTCCAGAAGCCATTACAGAAATTCGTGTCATTGAGCCAGATAAGGAGAAACGATTTCATGTGGATGTGGAAGATCCTCTCTCAGGAGTTCAATTCTTGCTAGTGAGCTGCTGAGGTTGTCCCTCAGTGGCATGAGTGCTGGAGACAACTCCCAGCCCCTCCATGTCGCCACCTTTAACAATGAGTGGCATCCCAATTTCCACCTTCTCAGCCTAAAACACTATTCTTCTCTAAGGAAGCCTTATGATGGCTTGTGGTAGGACGTGAAGAAAACAGAAGAGGTATTCTATATTCTCTCCATCCAAGGCTTCAATAAAGAGATAGAAGCCGCTTGTACTGAAAAAGGAGAGGTTCTCCCTACCCCCCTGCCTGTGCTGACCTCAGCGGTTGCCAGAGAGGGCTGAACATTGAGCTCCTCTTACGGTGGTTAGATAGGATGCCTAGTTGCTAAACACTATATAGTTTATTTACTTAACTAGTTGTCTGGTGTGAGTATCAGAATTGAAACAGTTTTGGGGAGTTAAAAATAAATAGCCTTTTATGTGGACAGAATTTTCTTTACTGTTTCAGTGATTTTGCTCTGTAATTCAGTCCTATCAAAAACTGTTAATGTCAGTCTCTTGGTAAAGTCCTTTTCTTGCTTACCTTGACTGCTGATTTACTGATTGAGAAGTTTACCTTCTAATTTGTGATTCTTCCAGATGTGATACTTGATGTTTTCTATATCCAAGTTAGCTGTCCACACCCAAGTGTAGCCTGGATACAGTATAAAAATAGATAATTAAGAATGGTCGCCATAAAAGGAAAACTCGTTTAATATTTTTTTCCTTTTTTATTGCAAGCCTTGTAAATCAGATATCGAATGTTTTTTTATTTTTATTTTTTGCTGGAGAGTTATAGCCTTGGGCTCTCTCTCTCATTGAAATCAAAATATAAAAGATTAAACTGCAAAGTCAAACCCAATAGATTGTCTTGGAAAGTTTTTATTTTAAGGGATTTGGTAGCGTCTCATCATTTGGCTCTACCAGGCAGGGAGTAGGACTTAGTATTTTAAAACACTCTGCTTTCTGATTTGCCTTAACATTTTGCTATTGCAGCAATTAAAATAGTCTTTACTCACATCTTGAACACTTCATGTGCTACATTCCTAAACTATGAAAACTTTTTCCTGGCAGCCAGCTAGACCGTTTGATCTGGAAGTACAAAGCCACTCACAGGAGTTAATTAGCAAAACTCTAACTAGTATATTATTAGAAAAAACTTCTATGCTTTGTCGGGAAGAGAAATAAAACCTCATATAAAAAAAAGAGTTTGACTTGGTAATTTGTTTTAGAGTAAGAAATTTCAGGTTTTTGATGGCTATCCCAACAGTCAGGATTTAAATTTGCAGTTTGGAGCAAGTCATGTAAATCTTGTTCACATTCCCTTTCCCTTTCCATTTTCAGGTAGCACTAAGAATACTTGCCAGGTAACTTGCTGATGAATTGAAATTATTAAAATGGTAACTTAATCCACAGTTTTTTGGTATTCACTGAAACGAAGGTGCTAGTCTTTCCAGAATGATATGAAATATTTAGAAGTATCACCCTTTCTTGGCCAATAACAAATTTGGGCTTCCTGTTTGTATGATGAGATATTTGGCATTGCCTTCACAGTTTTTATCAGGCCAAGTTAAAGGCTGACTACATGTTCCATCACGACGAAAGTAGAAATGAGGGCTGGGTTTATGTACATTGTTGGATTTTAGAACAATTTTCTTGACAGCTCTTTCTGAGAGAGTTTGTAGAAAGACTAAGGCATTAGGTTCTTAAAAGTGCCAAGGATGGTCACTTAAAATGTATTTTTAAATTACATGATCAGACATAGGCAGTAAGTTTATTAATAATGTTCTTTGCCTCTTTATCAATTCTGCATGAAAATATCTAAGTTCTTACCAGAAGTTGTGCATTTCAGTTTTAATATATGCAATTAAAGTGGAGGAGAATATTCAGGTCTTGTAATTCTATTTGAGAATTTAGAAGTGTCATGGTTATAATTATTCAGAAGTGTTCGTTGCTGGCTTATTGTAAAGCAATAGAAAAGTGTTTTGGTCATTTTATAAAAAATTTTATTGGGTTATGTTAAAATAATACTTGTTGGGATTATGACTTTTCTTATTTTCTTCTTGCCTTATTGATCTTGCTGGGACAGCCAACATATAATTTTAAAAGATGGTATTAGATAACATTATTGTTTTTTTCCCAATATCAAAGGGAAACATCAATATTTCATTGCTAAGTTTGACATTTCCTATATGTTTATCTGATTAAGAAAATTTTCTACTTTTAGTTTTGTGAGTCATATTTTGAAATTATTATTGTTGTTGTCAAAAGAGTCAATATATTGGAAGAAACCAATAGTATAAATAAGTGGAGATATTTACTGTATTAATATATTGGAAGCCCCAGTATTGTTAAGATGTCAGTTATTCCCATTTTGAAGTATAGTTTCTATGCAATCCTAATCAAAACCCCAGTAAGCCATTTTGTAGATATTAACAAAGTGATTCTAAAGATTATATGGAAAGGCAAAAGACAAGAATAACCAACGCAATATTAAGAACAAAGTTGAAGAACTGACACTACCTAACTTCAAGATTTACTATCAAACTACAGAATCAACACAGTATGGTAAAGGCAAAAAAAAATCGATAATCAGATCAACTGAATAGAATAAAGAGCTTAGAAATAACCCAACATAATTACAGTCAACTAATTTCTAACACAAGAATAAGAGGAATTCAATGGGAAAAAGATAGGCTTTTCAACAAATGGACATTCATATTTTTTAAAAAAGGAATTTAGACTTAGACTTTACATCTTTCATAAAATTAAATTAAAATGAATTATAGACAAAATTAAATTCAAAATCTATCCTTATAAATCAAAAAGCAGGATAAAATCTTTATTATCTTAGACTTGCCCATGAATTTGTAGATACATGGCCAAAAGTATTGTCTATGAAAGAAAAATTGATTAATTGGAATTTATTATAATTAAAAACTGCTCTATGAAAGAGACTGAAAAGTCAAGCCACAGACTGGAAGGAAATATTTCCAAAGCATGTATCTGATTAAAAACTTGAATCCAAAATCTACAAAGGACTCTCAAAACTCAACAATAAGAAAGCCAACAACCCAACTTAAAATGAGCAAAATATATGAACAGATACCTCACCAAAGAAGATATACATGGCAAATAAGCATATAAAAATATGTACAACACCACTTGTCATTAGGAAATTGCTTATTAAAACAATGAGATGCTGCTACCTACCTTTTAGGTTGGCTAAAGCTCAAAAACTTGCAGTATAAATAGTCAGCAAGTATACAGAGCAAAAAAAAACAAAACTCTCATTCACTGCTGGTAGAAATAAAAAAATGATATATACATATCTTGAAAGACAGTTTTGCAGTTTTCTACAAAGCTAAACATAATCTCATCATATAATCCAGAAATTATACTCTTTTGTATTAGCCCATTTGATCTGAAAACTTATGCCCACCCAAAAACCTGCATAATAATATTTATAAGAGCTTTATTCATAATTGCCAAAAACTGGAAGCAATAAAGACATACAAACAAACTATGGTATATATATACAATGGGATATTATTCATTGGTATTTAAAATGAGTTATTATCAAGCCATGGACAGATGTTAAGAAACATAAAATGTATATTTCTAAGTGAAAGAACCCAGCCTAAAAAGCCTATATGCTGTATGATTCCAATTATATGATATTCAGATAAACAAAAATATAGAGCCAAGTTAAAAAGCTACCAATGTCCAAGGTTGAAATGATAAGAGCAACAAAATAAAGTAGTATTAGATTATAACCCAAAGTATGAAATAGATATTCCTGAGTCCATCCTGATATAAATAAATGATTTAATTAATAAATTAGTATAAGAAACAAGTATCTGGTGCTGAAGAATTTCAAGTTACATAGATAGATAGATGGATAGATACTCTGCTCTCCAAGCGTTGAGCTCCCTATTCTCTAAGTGTGCATTGACCACAGTGACTTCCTTCCAAACAGTATAGTATAGAAACGGGAGAAAAACAGAAAGTTTATAATGGAGAAACCTGACAAAAACTACCTCAGTCAGGTGACCAAGGTTCATATCAACATTGACAGGCAATGGGAAGTATGTATCATTATAGGATGTGATGAAAATGGCACTTTACTTGTGTGGACTTAACCTCAGATATCCCCAGTCTAATCATGGGAAAACATCAGACAAATCCCAACTGAGGGATATTCTACTCCTCAAAAGTGTCTGGGTGATCAAAGACATACACCTTTCTGGTATGTCTCATTCTTTCTTGCATTACTATACTTCCTTCAAGGGACCATTTGTCTTCTAACTGAAGAACTTCTGTTAGTATTATTCTTTTATAGTCATTTTGCTGACATTGAATCTTTTGATTTTTGCTTTATGAAAAAAACCTTTTATTTCATTTTTGAAAGATTTTTTTTTTGCTGGGCAGTTATTTTCTTTTTGCCTTCTGGCTTCTAACATCTTGAGAATTTTTGAAAATAATGTGTCTTTTCTTCCAGCTACTCTTATTATTTTCTTTTTATCCTTTGTTTTCAGCAATTTTGCTATACGCACCCAAATATGTTTGTTTTTATATTTATCCTTTCTTAGGTTTATATCAATGTTTGCTTCTGTAGTTTGATTTTTAAAATTAATTTTGGGAAATTCTTGGCCATTAGATTTTCTGGCATTTTCTTCTATTCTCTCTTTCTTCTTCTGGAATTCCAGTTGCATATATGTCAGATACTTTTTTTCACTTCCCATATGCCTATAGACTCTTTTCAGTATTTCTTATCTATTTTTGCCTTTTTTTTTTCTTTTTTTTTTTTTTTTTTTTGAGACGGAGTCTCGCTGTTGCCCAGGCTGGAGTACAGTGGCGCGATCTCGGCTCACTGCAGGCTCCACCCCCCGGGGTTCACGCCATTCTCCTGCTTCGGCCTCCCGAGTAGCTGGGACTACAGGCGCCTGCCAGCTCGCCCGGCTAATTTTTTGTATTTTTAGTAGAGACGGGGTTTCACCATGTTAGCCAGGATGGTCTCGATCTCCTGCCCTCGTGATCGGCCCGCCTCTGCCTCCCAAAGTGCTGGGATTATAGGCGTGAGCCACCGCGCCCGGCTATTTTTTCCTCTTAACACACCCTATATTCCTACTTACTATTCTCACTCCTGCTGCCTCTAAATCTGTTTCAAAACTCACGTATTATTTTATTTTCCAATTCTTGAATTTTTATTTGGTTATTTTTCATAAATTTATATTGTCCAATGAGATATTCTATATTTTCTTTCTTTTTAAAAACATTTTAATCGAGTATTTATTTCTATTGTCTATTTCCCTTCTTGGTTTTTATTAATTTATCATGTTTCCTAGCATGTCTACCAATTTTGAATTAAATTCCAGACACCATGTCTGAAAAATTTCCTGAGGCTCTCACTGGTGCCATTTTCTTCTGGCAGGTAGAGAGAGTACAGGCAGATAAGCTTGATGATTCAAGGCTAATCTGTTTCCAGTTTCCTAAAATTCAAAGGGCACACCATCTCTGGTGTCTCAACTAACTCTAGACGGATTATCAGATTTCCTCCTCTTTAATCTGTATTTATTTCAGTTTTTGTTTTCACGGGACTTTGAGATTAATGAAAATTCTATTTAGCTTTTTAGCTTCTTTTGATACCTACCTGATGAGTTCTGCTTATAGGAGTCTTATATTTCATATACTCAGCCTAGAATTCAGGAAATGTCTTAAAGGAAAATTGGATATAGAATGCTAGGTTCAGTTGTCTGCAGTTTTCCTTATTCTAGAATCTTGAACTCTCAAGTGTAACTATCTTGGTAACCCTGAAGTCTAATTTTTGTCTCTCTACCCCAGTAAGACTGCTCCAAACTCTAGGTTGCCATTTTGTGTCCAGCCTTTACGGCCTGCAAGGTGAAATAAATGCCCTGAGAAGGAAATGGCTGCAAATATGGGGTCAAATTCACTGAGCTTTCCTTCTTTGGGTGATATTGACCTCTCATATCTTGGTTGCTTTGATTTCTCATTCTTTAAAACAGCCATTCTTTTGAATTTTACCTAGCTTTCATAATTTTTCCAAGTAGGAAATTTAACCTAATACCAGCTTTCCAATTATAATTAGGATAACTTGACAATATTTTCTAAATAGGGAGATGTATTAGTTATCCACACAAAAATTTAGCAGCTTAAATAAAAAATAAACATTAATTATCTCAAATAATGTCTGTGGTAAGTGATAAAAGTTAGTTACCTGGGTGGTTCTGGATTAGGGCATCTTGTGAGTTTGTAGAAAAGAGGTGAGCTGGGGATTATACTTGCCTAAAGCTGAAGAATCTGTTTCTAAGATAGCTTAT
The DNA here is from genome assembly GCF_000001405.40 of Homo sapiens. NCBI lineage: Eukaryota > Metazoa > Chordata > Mammalia > Primates > Hominidae > Homo > Homo sapiens. The sequence goes on from NC_000007.14 coordinate 93,784,616, forward strand.
TCACATGTCTGACATGGTGGTGCTGTCTGTTGGAGATCTCAGTGTCTTGCTAATTTGAAGTCTGCAAACGGCTTCTTGAATGTCCTCAGAACGTGGCAACTGGCTCCCCCAAAGCAAGTGATGTAGGGAGTAAGGTAGAAGCTACAATGTCTTGTATGACTTTGTCTCAGAAATCACACATGCCATTTCTGCAATATTCTATGGAGTTTATTATGTTGGTCAGCCCTATTTAGTGCAAGGAGGTACTACACAAGAATGTATATACCAGAATGCAAGGGTTGTTGGTGAACTACCTTAAAGCATTCAACCATAGCAGAAGAAGAGGATTCAGCAGAAGGGAGAGAAGGAAGAGTAGGAAATTTAAGGGGTAAATAAGAGAGACTGGTGTCTCAGAAGTGAAAGGATGGCTTTTAAAAGGGGAAAAAAACCAGTAATGTTACAAGAAGCAAATGTACAAAAAAGATAAGAACTAAGAGGTATGCATTGGATTAGAAATTGAGGTAGTCAATGGTGCACTTTGCCAGTATAATTCCAGGGATGTGATAGGGAAAGAATATAGGCTTATCTATTTTTTCAATAATTTATTTGTTGATCATTTAGTACAGTACCCAGAAATAGAAGATGGTTAATAGAAATATATTTTGAATAAATGAATTAATGAAGTTTCAAGGAATTCATGGGACAGAAGTATTTAAAGATGAAAAACCTGATCACCAAGTTCAAACATGATATGGTATAGGTAATTGTATCCCGCTTTGGCATATGAGAGGAGCTGGACTCTAGAACTCAGGCTGTTTTATTTGCAGATGGTGATGAAGTCTAGGCTGTGATGAGTTCAAGAAATTAAATAGGAATAATGAAGAGAATAGGTAATGATTCCACTGAGTAGCTAGGTCTGGGGTGGGGGAAGGAATAAGAAGTTGTATTCAGAATAAGCTGTACTATCATTAAATGGAGCTCAAACGTAAGAGATTAAAACCTAAATGATACTTCCCATAGCCAACAATATTTTTGGCTCGAGAAGGTCTAATATGTGTTAGCAAGCATATTCCAGCCACGAAATTGGAACACTGGGGTAGATGTTAGGGATTGTAAGAGAAAAAGATATTAGAAACAAAAATGAGTAAGAGCCAGGCATGATGGTAACAAATATAAATAAGTCCAAAACCCAGGTATAGGTGATAAAGACAAGTCTATTCATGAAAACTATTTTAGTCATATGAGGGTTGAACTCCCAAAATAATTCCATGAGTGAGCTGCCATGATCAAAAGACATTTTATCTTTATGACCTATAGGCTTATAGGAACTTTTCAAGTTGCTGTAGCTGGAAATTCTCTCAGGGAATGCCAATTGATTTTGGACAGGAAGGATCTTTGATTCTGTCTCAGTATCAAGTCTTCAAAACTTCACTTATAAGGATTTGTATATAGTGTATATATATAGCAAGGAGCTACATAAAGCATTTAAAATAATAATTATTAAAATTGCCATTATAAATTAAGGAAGACACAAAAAAATTAGACCATAAAGACCAGTTAATACCCAAGAGATGTAGAGGAGACAAAGAGTAAGTGTGTTAATTGTCATTATTTAGTTGAACACAAGGGAATTTTGATATCTCCTTAAGCTTTACGCCAACATTTTGTTTTATCCATTCCTGGACTTATACACAAAACCCAATTTTTTCCTGGCTAACAGAGAAACCCCGTCTCTACTAAAAATACAAAAAAAATTAGCCAGGCATGGTGGTGGGCACCTGTAGTCCCAGCTACTCGGGAGGCTGAGGCAGGAGAATGGCGTGAACCTGGGAGGTAGAGCTTGCAGTGAGCTGAGATCGCGCCACCGCACTCCAGCCTGGGCGACAGAGCGAGACTCCATCGAAAACAACAACAACAACAACAAAAAAAAAAAAACAATTTTTAATCTTCTCCCTATTGAACTTGTTCTCACCTGTGATCCATGTTTGGGATATATTCTCTAATCCAGGTCACAGCAACTTGGCTGAGTCCCTTACTGAAAGTCACAGGGCCTGTCAAACAGCCCTCATCAGGTCTCAGAAACTCCCAATTTCCCTTGCTACTTCAGGCTTAAGAGGGTGGAAACAGCTTAGAGTTGGTGCTGGTGCTGGAAATGGAAATACCAAATATTGTTTCCTAAACATTCATGCAATTCTATTAATAATCGCTTTATTAAATTTCCCATTTGATCATGTCAATTAATTCTTTCCAGGATCCTGACTGATACAGTGCCTATATTTATGAATTCTTTCAGAATTTAAATATCTCATCTTTGATTTTCAGAAACCACCCACAGTCTAAAGATTATGTCTATGACTTTGCTTATGCCACTGCTTCTATCTGACACTTACCTGACTTCTATTTGCCCAGTTCCTAGCATCTTCCAGTTCTTCCATGAATGCCACCTCTTCTCTATGACTTTCCCTCCAAGATGAATTATATGTCCTGGTTTGCCTGTGACGGCCCCGGCTAGCAACTATTTTCCTGGCATAATTATCAATTGCTTCCCTTTCATTTTTAAAAAAGTACTAGTTATAGATGAAAAAATTATACTGTCACCTTATCTATGCATCCTTCAACCAGAATAAATTTCTCCTGATTCTTATCTCCACATTATTTTATTTGCATACCTTATACATAACGTTCTTTCTATAGATATTATGGTCATTTATGCCTATCTCCAGCTCCTTGATTACCTATAAGCTCCTTGTGAGCAATAACCACGTATCTTACTGCCCCCCACAGTCCCCACCACACTAGAAACTATATATAGTCAAATTACATATGTATGGAAAATGTCTACCATATACTAACATACATAATAAATATATATACTATATGTTATATATAATACAAACTATACATTTATTAATACACAATAGATATATTAACTATATACACCAGATAAATAGATAGCTAGATAGGATGAGATGAATAATATGGTTCCTCCATGTGTCTCTCACAATATAATACATTCCAATTTAATCATCATTCTTTTTTTTTTTTTTTTTTAATTTTTTTTTTTTTATTATACTCTAAGTTTTAGGGAACATGTGCACATTGTGCAGGTTAGTTACATATGTATACATGTGCCATGCTGGTGCGCTGCACCCACTAACGTGTCATCTAGCATTAGGTATATCTCCCAATGCTATCCCTCCCCCCTCCCCCGACCCCACCACAGTCCCCAGAGTGTGATATTCCCTTTCCTGTGTCCATGTGATCTCATTGTTCAGTTCCCACCTATGAGTGAGAATATGCGGTGTTTGGTTTTTTGTTCTTGCGATAGTTTACTGAGAATGATGGTTTCCAATTTCATCCATGTCCCTACAAAGGACATGAACTCATCATTTTTTATGGCTGCATAGTATTCCATGGTGTATATGTGCCACATTTTCTTAATCCAGTCTATCATTGTTGGACATGTGGGTTGGTTCCAAGTCTTTGCTATTGTGAATAGTACCGCAATAAACATACGTGTGCATGTGTCTTTATAGCAGCATGATTTATAGTCCTTTGGGTATATACCCAGTAATGGGATGGCTGGGTCAAATGGTATTTCTAGTTCTAGATCCCTGAGGAATCGCCACACTGACTTCCACAATGGTTGAACTAGTTTACAGTCCCACCAACAGTGTAAAAGTGTTCCTATTTCTCCACATCCTCTCCAGCACCTGTTGTTTCCTGACTTTTTAATGATTGCCATTCTAACTGGTGTGAGATGATATCTCATAGTGGTTTTGATTTGCATTTCTCTGATGGCCAGTGATGATGAGCATTTCTTCATGTGTTTTTTGGCTGCATAAATGTCTTCTTTTGAGAAGTGTCTGTTCATGTCCTTCGCCCACTTTTTGATGGGGTTGTTTGTTTTTTTCTTGCAAACTTGTTTGAGTTCATTGTAGATTCTGGATATTAGCCCTTTGTCAGATGAGTAGGTTGCGAAAATTTTCTCCCATGTTGTAGGTTGCCTGTTCACTCTGATGGTAGTTTCTTTTGCTGTGCAGAAGCTCTTTAGTTTAATTAGATCCCATTTGTCAATTTTGGCTTTTGTTGCCATTGCTTTTGGTGTTTTGGACATGAAGTCCTTGCCCACGCCTATGTCCTGAATGGTAATGCCTAGGTTTTCTTCTAGGGTTTTTATGGTTTTAGGTCTAACGTTTAAATCTTTAATCCATCTTGAATTGATTTTTGTATAAGGTGTAAGGAAGGGATCCAGTTTCAGCTTTCTACATATGGCTAGCCAGTTTTCCCAGCACCATTTATTAAATAGGGAATCCTTTCCCCATTGCTTGTTTTTCTCAAGTTTGTCAAAGATCAGACGGTTGTAGATATGCGGCATTATTTCTGAGGGCTCTGTTCTGTTCCATTGATCTATATCTCTGTTTTGGTACCAGTACCATGCTGTTTTGGTTACTGTAGCCTTGTAGTGTAGTTTGAAGTCAGGTAGTGTGATGCCTCCAGCTTTGTTCTTTTGGCTTAGGATTGACTTGGCGATGCGGGCTCTTTTTTGGTTCCATATGAACTTTAAAGTAGTTTTTTCCAATTCTGTGAAGAAAGTCATTGGTAGCTTGATGGGGATGGCATTGAATCTGTAAATTACCTTGGGCAGTATGGCCATTTTCACGATATTGATTCTTCCTACCCATGAGCATGGAATGTTCTTCCATTTGTTTGTGTCCTCTTTTATTTCCTTGAGCAGTGGTTTGTAGTTCTCCTTGAAGAGGTCCTTCACATCCCTTGTAAGTTGGATTCCTAGGTATTTTATTCTCTTTGAAGCAATTGTGAATGGGAGTTCACTCATGATTTGGCTCTCTGTTTGTCTGTTGTTGGTGTATAAGAATGCTTGTGATTTTTGTACATTGATTTTGTATCCTGAGACTTTGCTGAAGTTGCTTATCAGCTTAAGGAGATTTTGGGCTGAGACGATGGGGTTTTCTAGATAAACAATCATGTCGTCTGCAAACAGGGACAATTTGACTTCCTCTTTTCCTAATTGAATACCCTTTATTTCCTTCTCCTGCCTGATTGCCCTGGCCAGAACTTCCAACACTATGTTGAATAGGAGCAGTGAGAGAGGGCATCCCTGTCTTGTGCCAGTTTTCAAAGGGAATGCTTCCAGTTTTTGCCCATTCAGCATGATATTGGCTGTGGGTTTGTCATAGATAGCTCTTATTATTTTGAAATACGTCCCATCAATACCTAATTTATTGAGAGTTTTTAGCATGAAGGGTTGTTGAATTTTGTCAAAGGCTTTTTCTGCATCTATTGAGATAATCATGTGGTTTTTGTCTTTGGCTCTGTTTATATGCTGGATTACATTTATTGATTTGCGTATATTGAACCAGCCTTGCATCCCAGGGATGAAGCCCACTTGATCATGGTGGATAAGCTTTTTGATGTGCTGCTGGATTTGGTTTGCCAGTATTTTATTGAGGATTTTTGCATCAATGTTCATCAAGGATATTGGTCTAAAATTCTCTTTTTTGGTTGTGTCTCTGCCTGGCTTTGGTATCAGAATGATGCTGGCCTCATAAAATGAGTTAGGGAGGATTCCCTCTTTTTCTATTGATTGGAATAGTTTCAGAAGGAATGGTACCAGTTCCTCCTTGTACCTCTGGTAGAATTCGGCTGTGAATCCATCTGGTCCTGGACTCTTTTTGGTTGGTAAACTATTGATTATTGCCACAATTTCAGAGCCTGTTATTGGTCTATTCAGAGATTCAACTTCTTCCTGGTTTAGTCTTGGGAGAGTGTATGTGTCGAGGAATGTATCCATTTCTTCTAGATTTTCTAGTTTATTTGCGTAGAGGTGTTTGTAGTATTCTCTGATGGTAGTTTGTATTTCTGTGGGATCGGTGGTGATATCCCCTTTATCATTTTTTATTGTGTCTATTTGATTCTTCTCTCTTTTTTTCTTTATTAGTCTTGCTAGCGGTCTATCAATTTTGTTGATCCTTTCAAAAAACCAGCTCCTGGATTCATTGAGTTTTTGAAGGGTTTTTTGTGTCTCTATTTCCTTCAGTTCTGCTCTGATTTTAGTTATTTCTTGCCTTCTGCTAGCTTTTGAATGTGTTTGCTCTTGCTTTTCTAGTTGTTTTAATTGTGATGTTAGGGTGTCAATTTTGGATCTTTCCTGCTTTCTCTTGTAGGCATTTAGTGCCATAAATTTCCCTCTACACACTGCTTTGAATGCGTCCCAGAGATTCTGGTATGTGGTGTCTTTGTTCTCGTTGGTTTCAAAGAACATCTTTATTTCTGCCTTCATTTCGTTATGTACCCAGTAGTCATTCAGGAGCAGGTTGTTCAGTTTCCATGTAGTTGAGCGGCTTTGAGTGAGATTCTTAATCCTGAGTTCTAGTTTGATTGCACTGTGGTCTGAGAGATAGTTTGTTATAATTTCTGTTCTTTTACATTTGCTGAGGAGAGCTTTACTTCCAACTATGTGGTCAATTTTGGAATAGGTGTGGTGTGGTGCTGAAAAAAATGTATATTCTGTTGATTTGGGGTGGAGAGTTCTGTAGATGTCTATTAGGTCTGCTTGGTGCAGAGCTGAGTTCAATTCCTGGGTATCCTTGTTGACTTTCTGTCTCGTTGATCTGTCTAATGTTGACAGTGGGGTGTTAAAGTCTCCCATTATTAATGTGTGGGAGTCTAAGTCTCTTTGTAGGTCACTCAGGACTTGCTTTATGAATCTGGGTGCTCCTGTATTGGGTGCATAAATATTTAGGATAGTTAGCTCCTCTTGTTGAATTGATCCCTTTACCATTATGTAATGGCCTTCTTTGTCTCTTTTGATCTTTGTTGGTTTAAAGTCTGTTTTATCAGAGACTAGGATTGCAACCCCTGCCTTTTTTTGTTTTCCATTGGCTTGGTAGATCTTCCTCCATCCTTTTATTTTGAGCCTATGTGTGTCTCTGCACGTGAGATGGGTTTCCTGAATACAGCACACTGATGGGTCTTGACTCTTTATCCAACTTGCCAGTCTGTGTCTTTTAATTGCAGAATTTAGTCCATTTATATTTAAAGTTAATATTGTTATGTGTGAATTTGATCCTGTCATTATGATGTTAGCTGGTGATTTTGCTCATTAGTTGATGCAGTTTCTTCCTAGTCTCGATGGTCTTTACATTTTGGCATGATTTTGCAGCGGCTGGTACCGGTTGTTCCTTTTCATGTTTAGCGCTTCCTTCAGGAGCTCTTTTAGGGCAGGCCTGGTGGTGACAAAATCTCTCAGCATTTGCTTGTCTATAAAGTATTTTATTTCTCCTTCACTTATGAAGCTTAGTTTGGCTGGATATGAAATTCTGGGTTGAAAATTCTTTTCTTTAAGAATGTTGAATATTGGCCCCCACTCTCTTCTGGCTTGTAGGGTTTCTGCCGAGAGATCCGCTGTTAGTCTGATGGGCTTCCCTTTGAGGGTAACCCGACCTTTCTCTCTGGCTGCCCTTAACATTTTTTCCTTCATTTCAACTTTGGTGAATCTGACAATTATGTGTCTTGGAGTTGCTCTTCTCGAGGAGTATCTTTGTGGCATTCTCTGTATTTCCTGAATCTGAACGTTGGCCTGCCTTGCTAGATTGGGGAAGTTCTCCTGGATAATATCCTGCAGAGTGTTTTCCAACTTGGTTCCATTCTCCACATCACTTTCAGGTACACCAATCAGACGTAGATTTGGTCTTTTCACATAGTCCCATATTTCTTGGAGGCTTTGCTCATTTCTTTTTATTCTTTTTTCTCTAAACTTCCCTTCTCGCTTCATTTCATTCATTTCATCTTCCATTGCTGATACCCTTTCTTCCAGTTGATCGCATCGGCTCCTGAGGCTTCTGCATTCTTCACGTAGTTCTCGAGCCTTGGTTTTCAGCTCCATCAGCTCCTTTAAGCACCTCTCTGTATTGGTTATTCTAGTTATACATTCTTCTAAATTTTTTTCAAAGTTTTCAACTTCTTTGCCTTTGGTTTGAATGTCCTCCCGTAGCTCAGAGTAATTTGATCGTCTGAAGCCTTCTTCTCTCAGCTCGTCAAAATCATTCTCCATCCAGCTTTGTTCTGTTGCTGGTGAGGAACTGCGTTCCTTTGGAGGAGGAGAGGCGCTCTGCGTTTTAGAGTTTCCAGTTTTTCTGTTCTGTTTTTTCCCCATCTTTGTGGTTTTATCTACTTTTGGTCTTTGATGATGGTGATGTACAGATGGGTTTTCGGTGTAGATGTCCTTTCTGGTTGTTAGTTTTCCTTCTAACAGACAGGACCCTCAGCTGCAGGTCTGTTGGAATACCCTGCCGTGTGAGGTGTCAGTGTGCCCCTGCTGGGGGGTGCCTCCCAGTTAGGCTGCTCGGGGTTCAGGGGTCAGGGACCCACTTGAGGAGGCAGTCTGCCCGTTCTCAGATCTCCAGCTGCGTGCTGGGAGAACCACTGCTCTCTTCAAAGCTGTCAGACAGGGACACTTAAGTCTGCAGAGGTTACTGCTGTCTTTTTGTTTGTCTGTGCCCTGCCCCCAGAGGTGGAGCCTACAGAGGCAGGCAGGCCTCCTTGAGCTGTGGTGGGCTCCACCCAGTTGGAGCTTCCCGGCTGCTTTGTTTACGTAAGCAAGCCTGGGCAATGGCGGGCGCCCCTCCCCCAGCCTTGTTGCCGCCTTGCAGTTTGATCTCAGACTGCTGTGCTAGCAATCAGCGACATTCCGTGGGCGTAGGACCCTCTGAGCCAGGTGTGGGATATCGTCTCGTGGTGCGCCGTTTCTTAAGCCGGCCTGAAAAGCGCAATATTCGGGTGGGAGTGACCCGATTTTCCAGGTGCGTCCGTCACCCCTTTCTTTGACTCGGAAAGGGAACTCCCTGACCCCTTGCGCTTCCCAGGTGAGGCAATGCCTCGCCCTGCTTCGGCTCGAGCACGGTGCGCACACACACTGGCCTGCGCCCACTGTCTGGCACTCCCTAGTGAGATGAACCCGGCACCTCAGATGGAAATGCAGAAATCACCCGTCTTCTGCGACGCTCACGCTGGGAGCTGTAGACCGGAGCTGTTCCTATTCGGCCATCTTGGCTCCTCCTCCTAATCATCATTCTTGAATTAAAGATAGATGGGATTGATTTTTAAGACTAATTTTTAGAGCAGTTTTAGGTTCTCAGTAAAATTAAGAGGAAGGTATAGAGATGTCCCAAATATTCCCTGCCTCCTCTGATGCATTATCAACATCCCCCATCATAGTGTACATTTGTTACAATTGATGAACCACATCATTATCACACAAACTGTATAATTTATATTAGGTTTCACTCTTGGAGTTGTACATTCTATGAGTTTGGACAACTTATATCTCCACCGTTATAGTATTATACAGAGTATTTTCGATGTCCTAAAAATCCTCTGTTATTTTCCCTTAACCCCTGGCAGCGACTGATCTTTTTATTAGATTGGTGTAAATGTAATTTTGTTTTTTGCCATTGAAAGTAACAGCAAAAACTGCAATTACTTTTGCACCAACCTTAATGTTATCTCCGTAGTTTTACCTTTTCCAGAATGTCATATGGCTGGAAGGATGTGACCTTTTCAGATTCACTTTTTTCACTTAATAATATGCATTTAAGTTTCCTCCACATCTTTTCATGGCTTCATAGTCCATTTCTCTTTAGCAGTTAATATTTCATTGTTTGGACTACCATAGTTCTACATTTTGGCTTTTTTAAAAATCCATTCACCTATTGAACATCTTGGTTTTTTCCAAGTTTTGTCAACTATAAAAATCTGCTATAAATATCCATGTGCAGCTGTTGTGTGGACATAAGTTTTCAACTTCTTTGGGTAAATACCAAGGAGTGTGATTGTTGGATTGTATGGTAAGAATATGTTTAGTTTTGTGAGAAACTTCCAAACTGTCTTCCAAAGTGGCCATACCATTTTGCATTTCCACCAACAATGAATGAGAGTTCCTGTTATTCCATATCCTCACCAGCATTTAGTATTGCCAGGGTTCTGGATTGTTTTTATTCTAATAGGTGTGTAATAGTATCCTGTTGTTGTTTTAATTTGTATTTACCTGATGACATACGATGAAGATCTTTTCATATGCTTATTTGCCATCTGTATATCTTTTTCGGTAAAGTGTCTGTTAAGGTTTTTGCCTCATTTTTTAATTGGGTTGTTTATTTTCTTACAACTGCTTTCTAAGAGTTTGTTGTATAAATTTGGGTAACACTCCTATATCAGAAACATTATTGTTTTTTTGCAAATATTTGCTCCCAGTCTGTGGCTAGTCTTTTCATTCTCTTGACAGTATGTTTTGTAGAGCAGAAAAATTTAACTTTAACAAAGTCCAGCTTATTAGTTATTTCTTTCATGGAGCCTGCTTTTGGTGTCATATCCAAAAAGTCACCACCAAATCCAAGGTTATCTAGATTTTTTTTCCTATAGTATCTTCTAAAAGTTTTATAGTTTTGTGTTTTATATTTAGCTCTGTGATATATTTTGAGTTAATTTGTGTTAAGTGTGAGACCTTCTCTCAATTTATTTATTTTCTTTTTCTAATTTTAATTTTAATTTTAATTTTAAGTTCTAGGTAAATGTGAAGGATGAGCAGGTTTGTTACACAGGTAAACATGTGTCATGGTGGTTTGCTGTACCTATCAACCCACCTGCTAAGTATTAAGCCCAGCATGCATTATCTATTTTTCCTAATGCTCTCCCTCCCCTCACCACACCCCCAGAAAGGCCACAGTGTGTGTTGTTCCACTCCCTGTGTCCATGTGTTCTCATTGTTCAGCTCCCACCTATAAGTGGGAACATGCGGTGTTTGGTTTTCCGTTCCTGCATTCGTTTGCTGAGGATTTTCTATTTTTTTTTTTTCATGTGAATTATTTCACCCACCATTTAGTGAAAACTACTTTCTCCATTATATTGCCTCCTTTTCTCCTTTGTGAAAGGTCAGTTGGCTATATTTACATGGGTCTATTTTAAAGCCTTCTCTTCTGTTTCTTTATATATATATATATATATATATATATAATTGGTGTATTATTGGTGTATATATATTATATAACTATAATATATTCATATAGATTACACTGTGTTACAAACAACATAAAACAATACAAAACAGTTGAAATGTTAAGGAGAAAAAAGGTGACTGAGAGCATTGGGCAAATACTTACTTGACCATAAGCAGTGTCACTATTCTCAGGTAAGAATGAGGCATCCACAACAGTCACCCGCGGTGACAGCCATGCCCAGCTGAGTACCAGGTTCATGAGAGTTACCAGCATCATGAGAGAACACAGAAATGAGAACTGTACAAACTGACAGATTTGTTTCAGAACAAATGTGTGGCTTAGAAACTCTAAAAACTGGGATAAATTTTAGGAATCTAATTTCACACAAACAAGTCATAATAATCTGCATGTGAAAATTGAATTAAACTTTTGTTTAGGTATAGTTTTACCAGGATGGGGACATTTAGATTTCCTTTTTTATCTTCCCATTAATATGGCATTTATTTATTTATTTATTTATTATTTATTTTAATGATTTTTTTTTTTCTAAGAGATAGGGTCTCACTCTGTGGCCCAGGCTGGAGTGCTGTGGCACAATCATAGTTCACTATAACCTCAAACTCCTGAGCTCAAGCCATCCCCCCACCATAGCCTTCCAAAATTCTGGAATTACAGGCATGTTTCATTTACTTTTTTTAAATTTACTTTTATTTTTCTAATATTTATTCCACTAACAATATATTATTGAGTTAATGGTGCCTTCAAGCATTGATCTTTTGTCTTAAAAGTATCATATGTATAATTTCATATGTGTACATTTACATAAACAAATTTAAATGCTGAATTACATCTACATTTTAAATTTACGCACCCATTTAATTGTTACTTAAAAAACAGTTTAGTATGAAATTAATGTTATAGAAAATAAATGCTATCAAAATATCCATATAGATTACACTATGTTACATATGTTACAAACAATACAAAACAATTCAAATCAGATCTATTTTCTGGCTTTTATACTTAAGCTGAAAGCACCCAGCATGAAACTAAAATTTGGAAAAAGTTGAAGAGCTCACCTCTTCTGTCAGTGACTTGATTTGCCTACCATGTATCTTCAAACTTTCACTATACCGAAATATTGTCCACTTAAGCCAATTTCATACATTAGCAAGAAATTAAATGTGGTCTCTTGAAGGTCTGTCAAACTCAATTTCCACTATGTCTTTCAATTTTATAATTTTAAGAGATCAATATGATCATCAAGTTCATTGCTCTGCATCAATGTTTCTCAATTGTGGTTACATGACAGAAACAACTGTCCAGCTTTTTAGAAGTATATTATATGCTTAGATCCTACTTCTGAACTGTTATCAACAAGGTTAGTTAAAACTTTGGCAGTCTAGATAATATGTAATTAGAGAGGAGCTATATGGAAAGGCTAATAGCTATGTCCCTTGATGCAGAACATAGGGAGACATCATGCTGCATCACACTGACCTCCAAGCCCCCCAGTTTTACTTACTTTTCCCTATTTTTTTTTAATTTCTTACCACTGGCAGAAGACATTAGATTAGCTAAAATGGCCCCCAAATCCTCATTTCCTTCTCACTCTTCATTTAGGGTGACATAACTCAGCAGGTGATTATTTTAATATATATGTATTCCTAGATGTGGTGAGACAGAAGAGGAGAAAGAGTCAAACAATAATTGAGTAAAAATAGCATTGTACTGATCTATAATTATAACAATAGTTCATAAATTTGAACAACTCCATAAACCACAATCCAACAATGCATATCAGGGATGGGAAGATGTAGAAAATAATTTAATTTGCCTACACTGCATGTAGAGCTAAGTAAGAACATTTTCCCTGATTCACAATGGAGCTTCCAACTTCAGTTTAAGAGGCATATTTTCCCTGAGAAATAAGTCTGAAAACCACATTACTGGTTAGTACTCTCAATAGTTCTTTTTTTTTATTTGCAGTACTTTTGATTTTTTAGACTAGACAACCTCATAAATACTACAGATTTAAGATATAATAGAATATCAAAATCTAGTCTGCCCTGCCAAGTTATCAGCAGTTCTAAAGTGAACATAAGATAATATGAAATCACAGGATCGCAGAGTGAGTGAGCTCTAGGTTTTACTTTATCTTTAAAATAAATTCTAGTTTCTCTTTCATAACTGTGATGGTGCAGTTTTCTGGCCTACAGATGGAAATGTAATATTTGATATTAGAACAAATGTTAGGTATCATTTCAAAGAGAGTTTTTCACCAATAACTTATGACCCAAACAATCTGTTCCAGAAGAATGGCTCTGCAATATCTCAAACCTTTGTAATGTTTTTGCATTAATAATATATACATATACATAAATAATGTGTGTATATATATATACATATATATTTTTATTTACTTCCTTAAATTCAATTTGGTAGACATCAAGTTATAAATTATTCAGATAAATAGTTATGTCTCTTCTGCTTAGCAGCACTCATTTCAGTATTATGGACAATTTAACGTATCATTGGTCAACTTTATTAAAATTTTTCTTTTAGCTTCTTTCAGAAATATTTGCTTAAAATCTATATCTCTAGTGTGACCATTTTGAAATTTGTTTACTTTTACATGATCATTTTGGGTGGAAAATTTATAGTTCAACCACCTTTGTACTAAAAGCAATGGGATTTAATTTTGAAAGTGTCTGATAAGGACACTTTCAGGAAATCTTGCCATGAATAGAGAAATAGGACAGCACTCTCCTGTCATTAGAGTGCAATTAGACATTCAAAGTTGGAAGTTATTAGAAAGAATTATCTCTTGGAAGAAGTCTAAAATAAAATCAGCTATTGCCAGTTCAAGTGGAGAGTATACATTGACAAATTGTTTTGTATTTGGTCTCAAGTCTGCAATCAAATATTTTATGATATTTTTTATGAGCTCAGTTTTAGAAATCGTCTTACTATGAAGGTACTTGAAAATGCTAAGAGCCACAGCTAATTTAGCATCCCTTAGAAATTAATATAACTAATATTTATTGAGTACTTAGCATGTGCTATAAAGTTTACATGGATTTTTTTCATCATCTAATATTTTTCTATAAGAAAAAATACTATACTATCTTCACTTTATAGAAGAATGTCCAAAAGTTACCTCTAGGTTCTACAACCTTCTGAAGGTCACATGGGTAGCATGTGGTGGACACAACATTTTAACTTGGGCAATCTGACTTCAGCTCCTACATGCTAAGGTATAAAAAAACTATTACCCGAGTAGCATAGTACTGTGGCTAAGAACTATAAAATTAAATATGAGTTTAATCTTCACACTTTATCCTTTGCAAAAAAAAATGATATTAGGCAAACTACCTTTTATATTCTTTGTCTGAAAAATGGGGATTTTATATGTATATAGCAATAATTTTATACCTAAGTGTATAGGAGCTGAAGTCAGATTACTCAAGTTAAAATCTTGGGTTCTTCACATGCTAGCCCTGTGACTTTCAGAAAGTTGTAGTATATATGTGACATAACTATATATATATATATATATATATATATATATATATATACACACACACACACACACACACACACATACACACATATAGGTGTGTGTGTGTGTATGTGTGTGTGTCATAGGGTCATAGGTTTGTTGTAAGGTTTCAATAAAATATAAAGAAAGCCAGTAAAATGCTTCCTTTTTCTTTTCATACAAAAGCAGGGGTGAGGGATCCTTGAATTTTATACATCTCCATACATCTTCCAAAATAAAACCACACAGATCAAAAAGGGGAGCAAATAAAACTACCAATAGCTTATTCCTATATAACACCTGGAGACAGGTGATATTTCAAACCTCAGTTTATCTTTAACTAGAGAAAAAAATAACTGAAACTAGTAGAGTTGTCTCCAGAGCTCACATAAAAGCAGATGGTCAGGCAAGATATGGACAGAAGAGAAGAGTGTAACAGCAGTGATGGAACACAGAACACATGCTAGGGTTCAGGACTAGAGATATCCATGTTGACTGGGGACATGCTGAGAGCAGGTCCATGATCTGATCAGAATGCTTGGCTCCTAGACTACTAGAATATGGAGAGATTGGAAGGTCCATAGGCCAGAAGCAGCAGTCTTGAGAAGATACTGTTCTGGGGAAGAGTAAGCACCTTGGAGAGAGAGATCCCATGGAGGCATGATGGCAAGAGGAAAAGAAAGAAGTGACAAAGAGAAAGTCTCTAAGGAAATAAAATATTTTCAAAGAATTGGATGAAGATAGAAAATACCCTTTATTAAAGAAACTGCACTTTATTGTGGAAACAGAAGAGGGAGCTAGTGATGTAAGAATTTGGTAAATGTCAGGGTGAAATTTAGTACACCTTAGAAATACCCTGGCTATCCCCTTAGGATGACCTGCTGTTATTTGTTCAGCAAATTAATTAGACATCCTCACGAATATAATGAGGAACGCGGAATCCATTCACAGCTCTTATAAGAAGAAAACAGAAAATACTACGGAGGAGAAAATCTGAGCCAGAAACCCCATATTTTACGTATTAACTCTGCCTAAAATTCTGCCTTACCTTTGAATCACACATATTCAAGGCAGAAGCAAAACAGTGAAACTGAAGTTGAAATAATTGACTTGAGTTTTGAAAATGTTGCCTACCTAAGTCAGAGTTGGAGTTCAAGCCTAAACAAGTTATTTGCCTGCTGAAACAAAAATATCAACACTCTTTGGAGCAATGTAACAGAATTTAGAGCCTCTACAATATTAATATTCACAAAGTGCAAAATACAATTCAAGTTGACTCAATATAGAAAGGATAATGCTAAAAGGAAAAGATAATCAATAGAGCCCAATTCTGAGGTAACCTATATGCCAGAATTTTCAATCAAGGACTTTATAGCGGTTATTATAATGATGTTCAACGAGGCTAAACAATTCTCCTAATGAATGATAGTATAGGATGTGTTAGCAAAAAAACTAGAAAATATGAAAGATAGGCAAAGGAATATTAATGCAACATGCATACTTTTATAAGCAATTAACAGAATGAGTTTATTTAGAAAATGGAGATGACAAAGGAAATAGTGAATCTGAATATAGAGCAATAAAAATTATTCAATCTGAGTAATTTCAATTCAATAATTTCAAGTGAAATTGAATATAGATCATAAAAATTATTCAATCTGAAATAGAGAGGAAAAAGCATTAAAAAATTGGCAGTGCTAAAGTACCTGTGCAAAACATCTACCAAACAGGTAATTATAGTCTTAGTAAAGAGAAGAGAACGGAGCAGAAAAAAATATTCAAAGATATAATAGCTGAAATTTTTCCAAATTTGATGAAAGACAAATTTATATATTTTAAAAAATATGGCACCCCCTAAGCAGAAAAAAAAACCAAGAACACTATGCTTAAGCATATCACAGACAAATTGCTGAAAATCAAAGAAAAATGGAAATAAAGTAGAAAATATGATACAGGGAAATAATGATTTAAATGACATGGATCAGCACTTTGGGAGGCCGAGACGGGTGGATCACTTTGGGAGGCTAAGGTTGGTGGCTGAGGCCAGCCCAGCCAACATGGTGAAACCCTGTCTCTACTAAAAATACAAAAATTAGCCAGGCATGGTGGTGGGTGCCTGTAATCCTAGCTACTTGGGAGGCTGAGGCACGAGAATCACTTGAACCCGGGAGGCAGAGGTTACAGTGAGCTGAGATCTTGCCACTGCACTCCAGCCTGGGCAATACAGTGAGACTTTGTCTTTAAAAAAAAAAAATATATATATATATATATGTGTGTGTGTGTGTGTGTGTGTGTGTGTGTGTGTGTGTAGCATATATATTGTGTATATATATATAACATATATATTGTATATGTATCGTAGCCATATATATATATATATAGTAGCCAGAAGTTAAGGGGTAGGGTTTTTATGAGTTTCCTTTTTGTTTGTTTGTTTATACAAACAGTAAGTTATTATCAGCTTAAAATAATAAGATAGTATTTGCGAGCCCCACAGTAATTTCAAATTAAAAAACATACAACAGATACACAAAAAAATTAAAAGCAAGAAATTAAAACATACCACCATACAAAATCAATTTTACTGAAAATAAAATAGAAAATAAGGAAGAAAAGACCACAAAATAACCAGAAAACAAACAACTAAATGGTAAGAGTAAGTCCTTAGTTATCAGTAATTATATTGAATGTAAATGGACTAAACTCTTTAATCAAAAGACATAGAGTGACTGAATGTAAAATAAAAGAAAACAAGATGCAATAAGCTGTTGCATACATGAAAAGAAATATATTTCATCTATAAAGATACATGTAGGCTAAAAATAAAGAGATAAGTAAAGATATTCCATGCAAATGGAAACCAAAAAAGAGCAGAAGTAGTTATACTAATAGCAGACAAAATAGATTTGAAGACAAAACCTATAAGAAGAGACAAATATTGTCACTATATAATGATAAATGGATCAATTCAGCAAGGGGATATAACAACTTAAAACATATATGCACCCAACACTGGAGCATCTGGATATATAAAGCAAATATTGCTAGAGCTACAGAGAGGGATAGACCCCAATACAATAAGAGCTGGACTTCAACAACTCACTTTCAGCATTGGCCAGGTCTTCCAGAAAAAAAAAATCAACAAAGAAACACTGGACTTAATCTGCACTATAAACCAAATGGACCTAATAGATTACTTATAGAACATTTCATCTAATGGCTACAGAATACACATTCTTTTCCTCAGCATATGGATCATTCTCAAGGATAAACCACATGTTAGGTCACAAAACAAGTCTTAAAACATTTGAAAAAACTGAAATAATATTAAGCATCTTCTCCAACCACAATGGAAAATAACTAGAAATCAATAACAAGAGAAATTTTGTAAACTATACAAGTACATGGAAATTAAACAATATGCTCCTTAATGACCAGTGGGTCAATAAAGAAATTAAGAAGAAAATTTAAAAATTTCTTGACATAAATGATAGTGGAAACACAATACACCAAAACCTATGGAATACAGCATAAACAGTACTAAGAGGTAAGTACCTACATCAAAAAAGAACTTTAAATAAGCAATCTAATGATACATCCTAAAGACCTGGAAAATTAAGAACAAACCAAACACATAATTCATAGAAGAAAATATATAATAAAA
Source organism: Homo sapiens (assembly GCF_000001405.40). NCBI lineage: Eukaryota > Metazoa > Chordata > Mammalia > Primates > Hominidae > Homo > Homo sapiens. The sequence goes on from NC_000007.14 coordinate 93,802,818, forward strand.
AACAGAGTAGAAATAAATGAATTTGAAATGTAGAATACAATAAAAAAATCAATAAAACATAAAGCAGGTTTTTTGAGAAGTTAAACAAAACTGACAAACTTTTAGCTATACCAAGAAAAAACAGAGAAAATGCCCAAAAAAATTAAATAAAAGATGAAAAAGGAGGCATTACAACCAATACCACAGAAATGCAAAGGATTTTTAGTGACTACTACGAGCAATTATATTCCAATAAATTGGAAAATCCAGAAGAAATGGACAAATTTCGAGACACATACAACTTACCAAGATTGAACCATGAAGAAATCTAATACTTGAACAGACCAATAACAAGTAATAAGATTGAGGCTGTAACAAATTCTTCCAGCAAAGAAAAACCCAAGACCCAAAGGCTAAATTGCTGAATTCTAGCAAACATTTAAAGGAGAAACAATGCCAGTCCTACTCAAACTATTATGAAAAATAAAGAAAGAGGAAATACTTTCAAACTCATTCTATGAGGGCAGTATTACACTGATACCAAAACCAGACAAAGACATATCCAAAAAAGAAAACTACAGGCCAGTATCTCTGATGAATATTGATACAAAACCCTCAACAAAATACTAGCAAACTGAATTCAACAGTACATTAGAAAGATCATTCATCATGACCAAGTGAGATTTGGCCCAGAGATGCAAGGATGGTTCAACATATGCAAATCAATCAGTTGATACATTATATCAACAGAATGAAGGATAAAACCATATGATCATTCAACTGATGCTGAGAAAAGCATTTGATAAAATTCAACATCCCTTCATAACAAAAAAAATCATAAAAAACTGGGTATAGAAGGAACGTACCTCAACACCATAATAAAAGCCATGTATGACAGACCCACAGCTAGTATCATACTGAATGGGGAAAAACTGAAGCCTTTCCTTTTAGATCTGAAACACAATAAGGATGCCCACTATCATCACTGTTATTCAACATAGTACTAGAAGTCCTAGCTAGAGCAATCAGACAAGAGAAAGAATTTTATATAAAGGGCATCCAAATTGGAAAGGAAGAAGACAAATTAACAATGTAGATATGATGTTATATTTGGAAAAAACTAAAGACTCAACTGAAAAACTATTAGAACTGATAAACTCAGTAAGGTTGCAGGATATAAAATCAACATATAAAAATCAGTAGCATTTCAATATGCCAATAGTGAATAATCTGAAAAAGAAATCAATAATCTCATTTGTAACAGCTACAAATAAAATTAAATATCTACGCATTAAACAAAGAAGTGAAAAATCTCTATGGTGAAAACTATACAACACGGATGCAAGAAATAGAAGAGGACACAGAAAAAAACAGAAAGATAATCCACATTTATGGATTGGAAAAATCAATATTTTTAAAATGGCGATATTACCCAAAGCAATGTACAGATTTAATGCAATTCCTATAAAAATACCAATGACATTCTTCACAGAAATAGAAAAAATAATCTCAAAATTTATACAGAATCACAAAAGACCCAGAGTAGCCAAAGCTATCCTGAGCAAAACCAAACCAAAACAAAACAAAACTGGAAGAATCACATTATTTGACTTCAAATTATACTACAGAGCTATAGTAACCAAAAACAGGATGGTACTGGCATAAAAACAGAAACAGACCAATGGAACAAAACAGAGAACACACCTCCTTGAGAAGCTGAGGCGGAAGGATCACTTGAACTCAGGAGTTAAAAACTGCAGTGAGCCACAATTGTGCCACTGCACTCCAGCCTGGGTGACAGAGCGAGACCCTGTCTCTAAAAAAAACAGTAAATAAATTAATAATGTTGATATCAACAATAGTAATCACTATCACATACTTTCATAGGCAGACATGCATGCACATATAAATTAATGCTCGGACTCTTACTGCCAACATCAGAATCTACCTTTGTCTTCAAGGCATGAGACAGAATATTATCTGGCCCAGAAGCCTATACGTTCAGTTGCTCAAGCGTACTGGCCAGATAGTCTCACAGGAATTCTAAATGGGACTTCTATGCATAGAGGCAGGCACAGGATATAGGAGGAGAAATTGAAGGTGGGTGGTGGCAAGTGGAAGGGAGAGAACATGGTGCAAATGTGTCACTAGCACTCAACACTTCTGAGACATAAATAGAACGAAGTATTAGAACTGAGAGGGAAGAGAAGGTAGAAGATGCTTGTTCAAGACAGGGCCACTTTTTTTTAATACCAATCTGCACTCTAGGTACCCTAAGATAACTAAATCAGTTGTGAAAGGTTTAAACAGTTCTTCCATGTGTAAAAATGTCTCATACTTTATTCGTGTAATTAAAATTAAGTCTTTTCTGAGTCACAACCTATTAGAAGACACAAGAGTCTAGTATCAAGTAATAATTGGGATTTTATTCACAGTCATCTCCATGAGTTTGTGCCAGAACCCTAAAATGATATTGTGCCAGGAAGTCAAATAAATGTGGTTCACTTAAGATAATGGCAGAATTTGTCATTTGTACCAATCATCCCACTGAGAACAATTTAGAAAGCTGATCAGATTATTAAAAATCACCCTGTTTAAGGGTAGCAGAATACTACTAAGGGAAGAATTATGAAGCAACATCAGGGCAAAGAAGAAAATCCAGAGAAATGATCCTGGCATTTGGGGGTCACTTCTCCCCTAGACACATAATTTGATTCCATTAGAAGTGCAAAAAAGGCAAAGAAGCTGAAAAGAACTTTCAGCAGAAGTTATGCTAAGCAAAAAGTCTGAAATTCAAGAGTCACTAAAGAGGGAAATTATTAAAACCCCAGGTTTAAATTGGGACCCTGATAACCTCTAGCCTAGAAAGAAGAGTGAAAGAATAATAGAACATTTTCTTTTTAACTCTGAAACCCAGCTACAAACAATCTAATCTGTAATTAAATTAAAGAAATCCAGAAAGGCTAGTGTCCCTAAACACCTGACAAAAGCAAACTTATATTCTGTCTGGAGGAATAAAATATTATGCCAGGTTTCAAATTATCTCTAAAATTTTTAACACATATCTAGTATTTCATACAAAGTAACCAACCATATAAGAATGTAATAAAAAAGAAAAATAAAAAATAGAAAAAAATTACAAGAGATCCAGATAATAGTTATCAAACACCATTTAAAGTAACTACACTTAATATATTTAAGGAAATAAAACACAGAATTGTAAATTTATGTATAAAATTGGAAAGTCCGAAAACAAGAACCAATGGCAATTCAAAACCTGAAAAATAGAAAACTTTCAAATACAAAATTAAAGACACAATGGATAAGTTAAACAGTATTTATACATGGTTAAAGCAATACTAAAGAAATTGACTATATATGTGAAGATAATATTGTATATAATTGGTTGGGGTCTCCATTTTTATTATTACTCCTTTAACCATTTAAGCAACAGTGCTATCTGTTAATGGTCCTGACCCTCAGTTGGACAGTGCTGTTCTTGGTATTACCCTCAGTGCTTTTGTAATTTTGCAACAGCTGCCATCGATATTCTGCAGCCATATCCTCAACCTCTCCCCTTCCAAGCAACAATCCCTAGAAATTGATACACCTTACTCAATACCCCAGCGGCAGCCTCTATACACCTCCAGACTGCTTTAGTCATTTAGTTACCAAGTTACTAGGTGCTGGCCATAACTTAAAAAAGAAAAAACAAGGGTGGAAGCAAATAGTTTTCAAGGTGACATGAAACTTCTTTTTGACCCTAACAATCAACAACGTCAGCACAAACAAATATATATTGAGGATTCACCCTGTTCCAGAAAGTGTCAGAGATGATTGGGGATGGATGCTTCAGGAAAAACACGAAAAACCTAAAATTTAAAACTCCCTATTCTCCAGATGTTTATGTTCTACTAGAGTAAAATGCAAATAAACAATAGATAGGATAAATAAAACACTATATTATACAATATGAAATACATAAATTTAAATAGAAATATTTTTATTATTTATAGTGCAATTGAGCTGAGGTAAAAATAAACATTTTTATTATTTCAATTCTTGAAATTTGTTCACACTAACATTATGACACAGCACATGGTAAAGTTTTAAAGATGTTCTTTGTACAACTGGAAAGAATTACTGTTTCATGAGGTGTTCTATCCATTTCCATAAGCCGAGTTTTGCTAATAGTAATGTTTAAATTTTTCATGACTTTGCTAACTTTTTGTCTACTCAATCAATTACTGACAAAGGTATGTATTTGACCTACTATGATTGTGCATGTGTCTATTATTTTTTGTAGTTTTCTTAAATTTTGCTTTATACTTATTAATGCTATATAAGTTAGGTGCATGAAAAGTTGGAGTTATTTTATCTTCTTGTTATTTTATCTTTATTTTACAGAACAATTAAAATTGGCGTACAAGGGACATACCTCAATGTAATAAAAGCCATCTATGACAAACCCACAGCCAACATAATACTGACTGAGGAAAAGTTGAAAGCATTCCCTCTGAGCACTGGAACAAGACAAGGATGCCCACTCTCACCACTCCTCTTCAACATAGTACTGGAAGTCATAGCCAGAGCAATCAGACAAAGAAAAGAAATAAAGGGCATCATCAGTAAAGAGGAAGTCAAACTGTCACTGTTTGCTGATGATATGACCATTTACCTTGAAAACCCTAAAGATTCCTCCAGAAAGCTCCTAGAATTGATAAAAGCATTCAGCAAAGTTTACAGATAGAAGATTAATATACACAAATCTGTAGCTGTTCTATATACCAACAGTGATCAAATGGAGAATAAAATCAAGAACTCCACCCCCTTTACAATAGCTGCAAAAAAAAAAAAAAAAAAAAAGAAAATACTTAGGAATATACCTAACCAAGGAGGTGCAAGACCTCTACAAGGAAAACTGCAAAATACTGGTGAAAGAAATTATAGACAACACAAACAAATGTAAACACATCCCATGCTCATGGATGGATAGAATCAATATTGTGATAATAACCATACTGCCAAAAGCAATCTACAAACTCAGTGCAATCTCCATCAAAATACCACCATCAATCTTCACATAATTAGAAAAAAAATCCAAAATTCATATGAAACCAAAAAAGACCCCACATAGCCAAAGCAAGACTAAGTAAAAAGAATAAACCTGGAGGCATCCCACTACCTGATTTTAAACTATACTATAAGGCTATAGTCACCAAAACAACATGGTGCTGGTATAAAAATAGGCACATAGACCAATGGAACAGAATAGAGAACCCTGAAATAAACCCAAATACTTACAGCTAACTGATCTTCGACAAAGCAAACAAAAACATAAAGTGGGGAAAGGACACCCTTTTCAACAAATGGAACTGGGATAATTGGCTAGCCACAGGTAGGAGAATGAAACTGGATCCTCATCTCTCACCATATACAAAAATCAACTCAAGATGGATTAAGGACTTGAACCTAAGACCTGAAACTATAAAAATTCTAGAAGATAACGTTGGAAAAACCCTTTTAGACATTGGCTTAGGCAAGGATTTCATGACCAAGAACCCAAAAGCAAATGCAATAAAAACAAAGATAAATAGTTGGGACTTAATTAAACTAAAGAGCTTTTGCACAGCAAAAGGAACAGTCAGCAGAGTAAATAGACAACCCTCAGAGTGGGAGAAAGTTTTCACAATGTATACTTCTGACAAAGGACTGATATCCAGAATCTACAATGAACTCAAACAAATCAGTAAGAAAAAAACAAACAATCCCATCAAAAAGTGGGCTAAGGACGTGAATAGACAATTCTCAAAATAAGATATAAAATGGCCAACAAACATACGAAAAAATGCTCAACATCACTAATGATTAGGGAAATGCAAATCAAAACCACAATGTGATACCACCTTACTCCTGCAAGAATGGCCATAATCAAAAAATCAAAAAAAAATAGTAGATGTTGGCATGGATGTGGTGATCAGGGAACACATCTACACTGCTGTTGGGAATGTAAACTAGCACAGCCACTATCAAAAACAGTGTGAAGATTCCTTAAAGAACCAAAAGAGGAACGACCATTTGATCCAGCAATCCCACTATTGGGTATCTACCCAGAGGAAAAGAAGTCATCATACAAAAAAGATACTTCCACACTCATGTTTATAGCAGCACAATTCGCAATTGCAAAATTGTGGAACCAACCCAAATGCCTATCAATCAACTAGTGGATAAAGAAACTGTGGCATATATATATGATGGAATACTACTCAGCCATAGAAAGGGATGAATTAACCGCATTTGCAGCAACCTGGAAAAGATTGGAGACGATTATTCTAAGTTAAGTAACTCAGGAATGGAAAACCAAACATCATATGTTCTCATTGATATGTGGGAGTTAAGCTATGAGGACATAAAGGCATAAGAATGATACATCGGACTTTGGAGACTTAGGGGGAAGGGTGGGAGGGGGGTGAGAGATAAAAGACTACAAGTAGGTGGCATTGTATACTGCTTGGGTGATGGGTGCACCAAAAACTCATAAATCACCACTAAATAATTTACTCTTATAACCAAATACCACCTGTACCCCAATAACCTATGGAAAATAATTTTTTAAAAAAATATTTAAAATATATATTATTTTATTATTTATCTGTGGTTTTGTTTTTGGCCTTAAAAACTTCTTTATTTGCTATTAATAGAGCAACACAAACATTCTTTGGTTGATGTTTGCATTAAATAGTTGCTCTGGTACATTTCTTAGCTCAGAGTCTCTCATAAGGCCACAAGGTTTAACTAAGGATTAAGCTTAAAAGAGTCCTCCTGTGGCTTCACTGGCTGCTGACCACGGATATTAGGTCTTTATCCTATGGGCTTCTCCATTAGGACAGTTTGCGGTATGGCAGCTGTACTCTCTTTCTCTTTTTCTTGGTTGCTGTGAAGGAAGTCAGCTGCCATGCTGTGAGCTTCCATTGAAGACAGAAGTCTTCCTTCTAAATGCCACGTGAGTGAGCATGGAAGTCAAGCCATGCAATGACTGTCACTCTGGCTAGCACCTTGATTGCAATCTTCTGAGAGGCCCTGGTCCAAAGTCACCCTGCAAAACCAATGCCCAGAATTACTGACATATTTATTTCAAGCTAATAAATTATAGGCGTAATTTGTAATATGCAGAAATAGATAACTATTACGTAGATCAAATGAAAAGATTTTCCAATGTGTAGAAACTACATAAATTCTTTTCTTACAGGACAATCTTATTCTAATCAATAACATTTGCTTTTAAGGCAGATAATCCTCCAAGTTTTCTAATGATATCTGAAACTATTAACTGATTCTGTGAATTATGAAATCTGAAAAGGAATTGGAAGTTGCTAAAAATCTATCATTTGCATTGACCAGTGTGAAGCACAGTGGAATGAGAATGCGTGCCCTGACACCAAAGAAAAATAAGTGACTGGAAAGCTGAAGAATCACCGGCTTCAGTGACATGGAACCCAGTGATTTGATTTTTGACGAGTATCGGGTGACTTTGAGGTGGTCAAGAAACCACACTTTAAGAACAATGTCCAAAAAGGGGAAAAAAAAGAGCAACCAAAGAAAAAAAATCCATAAAATTGCACAGAAGAAAAGAAAGAAAAATAAAATACACAATATGGACGATGGAGAAAAACAGTTACATTTCTTTATGGATCAAGAAGTTTGTGTACACATAATCTCATTTTGAGATATATAACTATTTTTGTCTTTCAGAAGTGAATCAAAATATTTCAAAATGCTGTCTTATGAAACTACAATATTCTCACAGATTAGAAAAGTTTTTCTGTAAAAGTCAGATAGTAAATATTTTAGGTTTTGCAGTGTCTTTTGCAACTACTCAACTTTCCTACTGTAGCACAAGAGTAGCTGTGGTACTGTGCAAATAAATTGCTTGTGTTCCAATAAAGCTTCATTTACAAAAACATGCCATGGGCCATATTTGGCCTGTACACTGTTGTTTGCCAAGTCCTAATATAGTTGCTTAGCAAGTATTGTGAGCTATTTGAGGAAGACATGAAAGTTCATTGGGTTGCTAAAAAGTATGTAGAAATTCAAAGGAAAATTAAAATTTAGGCTAAGTTATAATACACTGTTTTAACAATTGTAAAATGTAAGAGAAATTTACAAATAAAAATCCCAAATAAAAGTCTTCTTGTCAGGTAGATTCTGAGAAGCAAAGAATAGTTAAAAAGTAATAAGCTACTTTTAGTCCTTAAAAGAAAAGATGTTTCTTCTGAATAGCTTTATAGTAGTTATTAAGATTATAACATGTGCTGAGCAAATCTTAGTAGAGGGAGAAATAATATTTTTAACTTGCATCTAAAGAATATTAGTAGAAAATCTTACATCTGGGGAATGGAAAATGTCTCATTAAAATAAAGAGAGGACATCTACATCCTTTTCATTGACTCTAAAAACATGGCTTACTTCTTTGGAAAAGGTTTCTGGTTGCAGATTCAAAATATATCATCAGTGACCAAATGTCAAGGGTTAAGAGATGTTCAATGAAATGTGGTTAGTGAAATGTCATGTGGCAGAATTCTGATGGTGAAATGCTATAAAATGAGGGGTCATGGCAACCTGTGGTGTGAAAGAAAATGTCAGTGATGGAATAGAACAGTAAATAACCCTATCCTGCTTGTTATCTAAATGGAGACTTGGCAGTTCATTTCATTTTCACCTGATCACTTCAATTCCTCCCTCTTTATGCACATATCAGTGCCCCTTTGCTCACTCTTTCTTTTTCCCACATATATTTTAAGTGATACATTTTTAATGCTTTTAAAAGTTGAATAAAAAATGATAGAAATCCTAGCTAGCTATTTTTTTTCTCACAACAAACCCTGCTAAACAAAAGATAGTAAGCGTAAGATATCATAATATGATAGAAGGTTGTCCTTGAGCCAATTAGATTCTGGAAAATTACTCATGGTTGTTCAACCTTACAGTCTTATTAAGAGAAAGGAAATATGAGGTCTGATTTTATGCTTTCTGTAATTTTTTTTCATGTGCTCTAACACACTTTATCTGATTTGTGATATTTATGATGTCTCCCCACGTATTTGTGAGTATTGCTGCTCATACATTCTGTGGTCAAAACATGTTCAATGTGCCAGAAGTCAGGGAAGTTTGGAAGTAGAAATTGCTTTGGAAGGTGTGATAGGCTATTACTTTGGTCACCAGCCATATGAACCAGCCTCACGGTATCCTCATCCTTGTATAATCTCCCCTCTTTACATATGGGCTGGCCTGAAATCTGCTTTAAGGAATAAAATGCAGCAGAAGTGACAATGTGCCAGTTCTGAGCCGAAGCTTTAGGAAAACCTAGAGGCTTTTTCTTTTGCGCTTTCTACTTTTGCGTTTGGGGAAAGCCAGCAGCCATTTAAGAAGTCCAGTTACCTTGGGAACACTATGCAGTGAGGGAGGTCAAGCTGACCATGTGAAGAGTCCACATGGTAAATAAATGAGGTACCCCTTCCTCATTCCTCTTAGTTGAAATAGTTAGTGTGGCTCAACGTAAATTTAAACAGAAGCCTTCAGCACCTATCATTATACAAGACCTATTTACATAAAGACCTATTTACATTTATTATCCCCACTTCTCCATTTAATAGTAAAATTTGGCCTCTTCTTATACTTAGCATAAATGAGTAATATCAAACAGTGCACTAACCCAACCTTAATACCTTGTTCACATCCATTAAGGCCTCCATACCCAATATTACTGAAATTACTGACCGTACAAACAGTAATCTGTAAATATTTTGTTACTGTAGATTACAACAAAAGACTCTGGAAGCTGTTCAAATTGGGATACAACAGGCATTCCTATTATTGCCCCCAGAGACTCCTTTATTGTAGAGGCTTTGGCAACTTCCTCATATCTTTTGGAGTTTCTGGATTATCTACCATGGCTATAAGTTGTCCTTAGGCTTCACATGTAAGGAACTGCTCTTCTTAGCTTATGCTACATGTCATTAGAGTGGCAGCTTCTGTCCACACACTGGGCACATGACCTTCCATATCCAGCTGTCATGGAAGCAGCAACCCTCAAGTTCAATAAGACTACTAGGTCCTATTTGTTACAGGATAAAGCCAAGCCTGGGACCTCTGGCATATCCCAGCTGTAGGAGGGGTTGCTCTCCTCAGTTCTTAGTCCCTTGCTATATGCCAGAATATTTGAAGGCACCCTGAAATAACAAGAGGAGAAGCCCCAGACCTACGACCCCAGTCTAACTGATGTATCCATCCCCCAGCCATTTTGCTTGCACCAGTTGATGCCATGTGATGCAGAAATAAGCTAAACTATCCCCAGCATCCTCTGTCTAAATTCCTGCCCCACAGAATTGTGAGCATGCAACACAGCAATTGTTTTAAGCCCCTGCATTTTGGGATAAATAGGTAGAAAAAATAGATAATTGATATAGAAGAAAATGCTCAACAACAGGAAAAGCTGGGAAAAGATAAAGCCCTTGATAACCTAATAATGTTCTTGAGGGAAATCAAGGAACTGTCATTGTGTACATCCAAACACGCTCCACTATAGTTGCCCTCAGACTATTCATGTACTGTTACACCAAGTAGCTTCCTAACAAAAGTGGTAAGATAATATGGTCTTATCAAGCAGTGCAGGGAAATATGATTTTTAGTTTGTGGGACATAGGTCCTGTCTAAGAGACAGGGAATAGAAAGATTTCTTTTCCAGGTTACTTTTAATAGAAAAGTCAAGAAGCAGAGCAGAATTTGCTAAGGTTTACATATCTATATTTTGCAATTGGTAAAGAAAAAAATTGACATAGGGAAGGTACTATGATCAACCTCCAAAACAAAATGGATATTCTTCAAAATTTGGTCTGTATGTTAAAATTGATGACACTGCAGACTTTTTGGAGAAGTCAGAGCAGGCTTTCCAAGTTGGTCCAAAAATGTCTTTAAAAATCATGAAAATGAGACATGCTTGTGAGTTGTACAGTGCTTAGGGGGTGGGACTGGCATAACGGTTTCCTTGCAGGGAGTTTACCTGGTCTGAATTCAGAAGGAGCATGCAGGATTTCTTATGAGCTTGCCCAGAAGTGGAGCAAAGGGCAAATGGAAGTGGTGAGGCTTAGAAGTTATCAGTAGTCAAACATCAAAAAAGGAGTCAGATTCTTTATTACAACCCACCCTTAATGTTTGCCCAATAACTGAAATGTACCATGTTCATTTAATTGAATTTGATTTATTTAAGTTAGCCATTTGTATTAGTTAGGGTTCTCCAGAGAAACAGAACAAGTAAGATATACATAAAATTGGCTCATGCAACTGTGGAGGCTGACAGATCCCAGGATCTGTAGTCAGCAAGCTGGAGATCCAGTGATATCATTCCAGTCTTAATCCACAGGCCTGAGAACCAAGAAACTAGATGATATAAGTTCCAGTTTGAGTCTGAATCCAAACTCAGAAGAAGATCAATATCCCAGTCAGGCAGAGAGAAGAGTGAATTCTTCCTTATTCAGCCTTTTCATTCTATTCAGGACTTCAAAGTGTTGAATGAGACCACCTTCGTAGACACACTCAGAATATTTAACCAAATATCTGGACACATTGTGGCCCCATGGAGTTGACACATAGAAGTCGCCATTACACCATTATAGCCCTCTATGAAGCCTGTAGCCTGAGGCTGACAACAAGGAAAGTAAAATGTCCCTTGAATGCCTTATTCAAAAGCCCAGTAATTATACATTCTGAAAAGCAAATTGAGTGCCTTTGTCACTATCAATGTCTGAAACTCTGAAGAGGATAAGGAGTGTCTTGGTGAGGCTTTGGATTGTGGCTTTAGTATGTACAGAGATATATGTGGCATTGATTTTTTTTGGTATCTGTGAGGCAATATATTATCAGAGTTCTTTATCGTAAAGGAGGCATCCATGGATAAAGAATTGTTATTGTTGCCATCAAGTGGATCTGGCAGCTGGACTATTTGCAATGGGCCATAAAACCATACAATTGTGTGGATAAAGCTTATTGTTGGCCAGGATATCCAGTCCTAAGATGATGGCTAAAGTTTGATCAATTACGTTGACCCTATATCTTGCCTTTATTGAGGATATCCTGGTTAAGGAAGAGAAAGCAGTGGCTCTCCAGGGAATACCATCACTAGTGATAGTGACAATGCCATCTATAAACTTTACAAATTTTCTTTGCTGTTCATTCAGTTGATACCAAGGGGCTTACTCAAGTAATTAGGGGTTCTTAGGGGAAGGGTTACTTGTTCAAACACTCTGGCATATAGCAAGGGACTAAGAACTGAAGAGAGCAACCCCTCCTACAGCTGGGATATGCCAGAGGTCCCAGGCTTGGTTCTATCCTGTAACAACAAGGACCTAGTAGTCTCATTGAGCTTGAGGGTTGTTGCTTCCATGATAGCTGGATATGGAAGATCATATGCCCAGTGTGTGGACAGAAGCTGCCACTCTAATGGCATATAGCATAAGCTAAGGAGAGCAGTTTCTTATATCTTAAGTCTAAGGACAATTTATAGCCATGGTAGATGATCTGGAAACTACAAAAGATATGAGAGGAAATTGCCAGAGCCTCTACAAAAAAGGAGTCTCTGGGGGCAATAATAGGAATGCCTGTTGTATCACAATTTGAACAGTTTCCAGAATCTTTTGTTGTAGTTTACAGTAATAAAATATTTACAAGTGACTGTTTGTACAGTCAGTAATTTCAGTAATATTGGGTATGGGGACCTTAATGGATGGGACCAAGGTATTAAGGTTGGGGTAGTGCACTGTTTGATACTATTCATTTATGCTAAGTATAAGAAGAGGGAAAATTTTTGGGAGAACGAGGCGGGTGGATCACTTGAGGTCAGAAGTTCAAGACCAGCCTGGCCAACATGGCGAAACCCTGCCTCTACTAACAATACAAAAATTAGCCAGGTGTGGTGGCATGGGCCTGTAATCCCAGCTGCTCAGGAGGCTGAAAGGCAGGGGAATTGCTTGAACCTGGGAGGCAGAGGTTTCAGTGAGCTGAGATCGTGCAGCTCCACTCCACCCTGGGTGACAAAGTGAGACTGTCTCAAAAAAAAAAAAAAAAAAAAATAATAATAATAATAATAATAAATAAGAGGCCAAATTTTACTATTAAATGGAGAAGTGGGGATACTAAATATAAACAGGTCTTTATGTAAATAGGTCTTGTATAATAATAGGTGCTGAAGGCTTCTGTTTTAATTTACATTAAGCCACATTGACTATTTCAACTAAGAGGAATAGGTTGAGGGCATGTCTATATAGTCCTATTTCTCAAGTAAATTTGTAATGACAAAGACTTAAATTTAATTTACTCCATGTTAGACCAGAGTGTTTCTGCTCACCATGCAATATTTTGGGACCATGGGTGCTCTGAATATGAAGAATTTAGGTAATGTAGTAGTATCAAAGGTTAAAGTGCCCTCTATTTTATGTTCAGTAACTCCCCTGAGATTATGGGGGTACTTTGTTTAAATTTAGTGGTATTCCCCAAGTATAACTGTAATTCAAGCCCCAGTATTGATTATGGCCGTGAAGGTTTGTCAACTGGTGTATCTCAGCTTCTTAAAGTTAATTTAAAATCCTACATTATAGAGGCATAGAAGCAAGTCAGTATCTCTTTATCTTTGTTGTTTAAATTCTTTTAGTATATTCTGGATTCTTCCAGAAATCTTCAAATCAGTATTGTCCGGGTTAGGAGCCTCCTTAATAACAATGATTGAATTAACCCTTGGTTGTGCCACAGGAATGCCATGGGTTTTTCTCTATACTCCTAAAGGTGAGAATCTTTTTGGCAAAAGAGATGTAAGAGAATAGCAGCAGCACCAGCAAAGGCATTTTGTAGAGTCCTAATGAGCCATCTGCCTTTTTGGGTATAGACACTAATAATTCAAATTTTCAAATAACTTCTATTCAAATAGGGGCCATTTATCCTCCATGTGAGTGAGCACTCAGTAAAGCTATATATCTCACAGGGTATAGTCTTTGTACTGAGCTAGCTGTAGAATAAGGCCTATACTTGTTTGAAACACACCAGGTCACAATTGGCCACAGGATAAGGATTGTTCCCTTCACCTAATGACAGTCACATGCTATGCTAGAATTGAAACACATGATTTCATCTAAAATACACAGATAGGTCTGGGCCAAAACAGATGACACAGGGCCACCCTAATGCTGTCCTAAAACCTATATTCCCTTCTTAAAAACTCAATTAGTTACTAAAATTTCTGATATAGATTGGTTAAACCTCTAACAGAGGCTCAGTAGAATGCAGCAAATGCAGCACAAAGCTGCACAGCTCAAAGCACAGGCTACTCAGCAGGAGCAGCTCAAAATGTATGCTTGCCATTAGGCAGCCAAAGAAAGAGAAGAAAGACTCCCAGCAATGGTGCCCATTGTCTATACATCCCACTCTCAAAGCAAATTGTCAGCATCCTGTGGAAACAGGGGCCATGCCATAGGGACAGAATAGATCTTTACCAAAATTTGGTTTGAATGTCAAGTATGAAGACCCTAGACACACACCAAAAGGGTATAACAAAAATTTATTACTTAATATGGTAAGGCTTTCTGGGGAGAGGAAAGCAATCTCCCCAAACAGGTTCAAAAATCAATTGAGAGAATAGAAAAAGGAGGCTGGCTTACAGTTTTTATGGTGATTAAGGAGTGATCGGAGGGGGCTTATATGGTTTGAATTTTCTTCTAAAGGAGGGAAGATCTGGGATTTTTTTTTTTATCAGCTTGCCCAGATGTGGAGTAAAAAAGGAAAAAGAAAGAGTAAGGCTTAAATGTTATCTAAACATTAAAAAATTGAGTCAGACTCCTTATTATAAAAGGACTTCTGGACAGAACTATTCATAGTGGAGTGAATTGCCAAGAAAAAGTACAGACTATATGAGTTTAGGGGAGTTGAGAGGATGTCCTACTGTGGAAGACGCTATGATGAGTCACTTCAGAGGACAGCTGGGACAGCTTTATAAATATAAAACCTTCCAAAGGGAAACAAAAGGACAAAAGCAATGAAAAGAGCCTCAAAATGCAACTTTTCCTGAAAAGTGAGGCTTTTATTTCTCTAATCTTGTGGAAATTTAAGAAGCCTAATTTAAAAGATAAGAACTTACATAATCAACATTCACACCATATACCATATGGATTAGTGTGTCTGTCTAACACGTGGTACCTAGGACAACGACTGGCATAGAGTGAGTACTGTGCAAACATTAGCTAAATTAATAAATGAATTTTATGGAAATTTAGACTTTAAAGAGTACTTTCTGATAATTTGTCTCATTTGATATTTAAATGTATTCTCTGAGAAATACACTATTGTCTCCATCTTACAATAAGGGAACTGAGGTTCAGAAAAATAATGCCTTTACTCAAATTCAGGCCATGAAAGAACAAAGGTTCAAGTCCAGTTATTTCAAAAGTCTTATCTGTTCCTTACCAAAGTACACTACTTCTGCCAGGAATATAGATAGTAGATCTCTATCTGGAAATAAATAAAATAATCTCTTAGGGTACCTTCTAGTTCTTTTATTTTTCTCATTTTCAAAATTCTGCTTCATAGTTTAAAGGTTGCTTTGGTGAATGGTAGAAATTTTCTTAGCCATATCTAATTTTAATATCACTTACACTCCAATCATTCACAAACACTAGTTCAAACACTCTAGGCCTGGAGTAATACTAATTTTTCCAGTAACACTTATTGAAAGTACAGATTCAGGTCTTCAAAAGGATTCATTTATTATATCATTTATTATTATTATATCATATATCATATATTATATCATATATCATTATTATATCATATATCATATGTCATTATTATATCATTTATTATTATCATTCATTTATTGACACCCCCAGGTAAAATATTCTGAAAATTTTTGGAGATTCAAAGGAAAATAAACTATTTTCAAAGTGCTAATTTATTTCCTTATAAGTCAATGCAAAATTACATCAATGAGATGAGTTTTAATTGACTATAACTAGAAGTGGAATTTATTTAAAAGTCCTTATTACTCTGATTGCTCAATCTATAGTCAACTTTCAAGTTCAGAAGCTTAGTGAGATGTGTCCTTTAAATGGTTGGGTCATATGAAAACCTTCACAGGATGGCAAACGATTTTTTCAAGGAACAAAGTTTATCATCAATAGTAAAATGCTGAGTTATATTTTGTTATTAATTTTGTCCTCTCAGGAGATGATTTTCGAAACAATGTAGCAAAAATTTCCATCTACACTTTGATTTCGGAATCATCTAACAATTGAATCCCTGCTGTTGTTATTTCATCTATTAATGTCCTAGATGTCTCAGATAACATTGCCAGGTGTCTTGAGAGCATTCGTCTCTTGGATGGTGTATTAGTCCGTTCTCATACTACTATAAAGAAGTACCTGAGACTGCGTAATTTTTAAAGGAAAGAGGTTTAATTGGCTCACAGTTCCACATTGCTAGGGAGGCCTCAGGAAACTTACAACCACGGTGGAAGGGGAAGCAGGCATGGACCTTCTTCACATGGTGGCAGATGGCGGCAGGAGACAGAAGAGTGAATGAACAAAGGGGGAAGAACCCTTTATAAAACAATCAGATCTCGTGAGAACTCACTCACTATTATGAGAACAGCTTGGGGGAAACTGCCCCCATGATTCAGTTACCTCCACGTGGTCTCTCCCTTGACATGTGGGGATTACAATTCAACATGAGACTTTGCGTGGGGATGCAGAAAAACCATATCGGATGGAAAGTATTGTCATTGAACTAATTTGCCCCTCTTGGCACCTTTATTTTCTTAGACTCCTAATAGATCGGCACATCAGACCATAGAACATATAAGTGCAGAACTATCTGATTCCTAAGGTAAAAACTGCTTAGATTCTCACCCTGAGACCCTTCAAGAAGTCTGGGTGGTAGCCTTCCAAATATGCATTTAACTTCAAAGAATACGATTTAGCTATTACAAAGGCACTGCTTTTTGTAGTTGATTGTGTGCCTAATAATTCCTGGAAGGTACATTTCTGAGCTCTAAAGAGATGTGATGATGTCACGATTTGTGGACCCTGCCATTATTAGATGATAACAAACACAAGGCGATCCCTCTCCTTTACTTGTTTCTCTGTGTGTGTGTGTGTGTGTGTGTGCGCGCGCGTGTGCATGTGTGTGTGTGTTGGTGGGAGGTGGCTATAATTTTCATAGCACATGGCACTTATTATATTTTATTGTGGTTGCTATTCCTCTGCCAGGATAACTTAAAAGGCCTTAGACTTACAGATATTCCAGCGATGAGACAGTCGGTCCTAGATCAGCATAGGTCTGAGCCCCTTTCTCGCCCGTGCAGAATATGTAAAATGAACAAGTGATAAACTTTTGCTGAATTTATCTAATATTTTGGAGCAGTTTTGTTACTGCAGCATGATCTAGTCTACCCTATTAATATGCCATGTTATAATAACAAAGATAATTAATCAATTAATTTATTTATCTGACATATAATGAGTATCCACTAGTGCCAAGTATTGTTGCAAGACACTAGGATTATTGTGGTACATAATAAGTACATAGTCTATGTCCTCAGTGAGCTTATGGTCTAATGAAGAAAATGTGCAAATAAACATCCAATGAGCGTTTAGCAAGCATCCAACATGTGCTGCAACTGCACCAGGAATTTGGTAGAAAAATATGATACAGAATTTTTAATATAATTCTGGATACAGGCATGATAATAGATTATTATAATATATATTGAATATTCCAAGAAAATTTGTACAAAATATTTGAGGGGTAATGATAAGGAAGCAGTTAGTTGTCTTGAGATGTCATGGCAGGCTTCTCAGAGGAAGTAACATTTGGTCAGGAAAAGTGAGTGAAACTTCACCTGCTGAAAAGGTTGCTGTGGTAGCTATTAGCACTTCATCAAAAATATTTGGCTTTCTTCTTTCCATGCTAGGATTGCACTTCTCCCCTTTTTCAATTTTGAAATAACCATCTGCTTTTCTTTGGCCAATAAAATAGGAGTTCAATGGATGACTATGGCTGTTAGGTAAAAAAATTAACAGCTAGTACACAATTTGCCATAATCCTTTCTCACTTCTGCAGTGATCATGGAAGCACATGTTGAAATAAAGTTTCTCCCAGTCTTGAAACCAGAGTGACTACAATGAGATGAGCCTCCCCAGCCCATGTTGCATGCATGAAAATAAATTCCTATTTTTTTAATACACTGATGTGTGTAAGGTTATTTGTTATTACAAAATAATCTAACTAATTCTGACTGACACAGCATATTCCAGGCTGAGAGAATAGCTTGTGCAGAAAGACCTGGAGCTGTGAAAGATCATGGTGCATTCCTGAAAGTGTAAATTCAGTGCGGTTTATGTTCAAGGTATGTGGGTTGCAAAAGGATGACAAAAAGATGAGGTTAGACGGGACAAAGTGTGAAAAGTCTTTTGTAAAAGCTTTTCTATTTTATTCTCTAAGCAAGAAAAATAACTCTCGAACAGTAATGGTCAAGGGATAAGCAAATGTCTACTTTCATTTATGCCCACCTGATCCTGTGCTAAGGAGACTCCTTTTTTAAAAAGTCTCTTAAAGATTTTAAATTATCAGTTGTTCTGTTGAGACAATTATTAGACATGTTGACAAAGCCACATTGATAACTTTTTGTTTTACATCATCCAAAGCAGTATGTTGTCAAAGCCTTGAAACTATAGTCTGTCATTACCACCATGCCTTGTTTGGAGAATGTTAATATCTACTAAAAAGTAAAACTGAAAACCTTTTCTTTTTTAAGATTTGCTTGAGAGATGGAGTAACATGTCGATTGTCTGTGGCAGTGGGGAAATGAAACTGTCACATGAATTACAAAAGCTGCTAAGTTGCCAGCAGGAAAAGCATTGATTCTTGGTGAGTTCAGATCTGTAATTTCAGATACCTTTGTCATCTTACTGAATGGAAAACTTTGAAAAGAAAATCACTTCTTCCATTCACAACAATACTCATCACTGGAGTCTTTGGAAGGACAAGATAAGATGGAAATTTAGTTTTGAAATGCTCTCAGTTGTTGTTAATTTTTATTTCTAATTTAATTTTCATTTTTCCATTTTTTGAAATATCGATTCATCAGCTCACTAAGATTCTTAGCAGGACTCAATATGACCACACAGTCCTTTCCAAGTTCCTTTCAATATGCAGCTTATTAATAGTGATTCAGTATTGTGTACATCAGTATCTCATAAGCATTCATAAATAAGCATTTATTTCTATTAACAGTTTAAATTCTGGACATATTTTCTTTCTGCTCTACTGCTGCCCCCTCAAAGAAGATCTGGTTTCTTCATGAAGTAGAAGTCAAGATATTTAGAAACCTTGAAAAATCTTTTTTCTCCATGAACCAAACCAAAGTGTCCCAAAGTTAATCAAAGGGGACGCTTTTAAGTATCATGAAGGGTGGCTAGTGGGGAAGACAGAAGGAAGAAAGGGATCGTTGACACTATGGCAGATAAGGACTGATGGCTCTTGTTTATCAAATCTCTTTATCTGCTCTACCCGCTACATTCATCTGCCCCAAGAACTCTTCCTCCTGCTCATTACCAGGTTTCAAGAGTCCTGATGACAATCTGAAATGTTCAGGAGTTGCAGATTTGTTGTTCAGGGATTGCGACAGAAAATAGTTATGTGCTCACCATTCCTCTTTCCTTTTCCTGAACACAGAGGAAGACTATTTCTGAGCTTCCCTCAAAATTAGATTGTGGCCATGTGAGAGGATTCTGGCTAGTGGATTGTGGGAAGAAGTAATATGTTCACCTTTGAAGTCTGCCATAAAAATCTCCCAAAAAGCCCACACTCTTTTCCTTCTGTGATTACCATGGAGGCCGTGTTTTCAAGATGGCACTATTAAGAGACAGAAGCAGCCTAGATTCACCAGACATTTTAACTATTCAACAGAAATGAGGAAAAGACACAATTTGTTTATATGCAAGGCCACTGAAATTTCATAGCAGGTGGCATTTCTTATTCTGAGTAATAAAGAATACTTTTGGAAATTAGAAAATATAATCTAGTATGATCAAAGTATTGAATAATATGGAAAAAGCAATAGAAAGCCCTACAACTAGGGTACTATCAAATTTCGGGGCCCCAAAATTACAATTTAAAAGTAATCAACACTTACATCTTATGACTTCAACAAACTGTAACCCTTACACAGTTAAACTAATATTTAAGATTACTTTCCACAAGGCTGTGGTCACCTTACTATATATCTTTGCTTAGAAACAATGGTAAAGTTGTAACATATGTATTGTATAGGTATTATAAAACATTCATATTATACACAAATCCAAATATAATCATAAGTTATATCAAGCAAAATAATAAGTAACGACTTTGAAAGGAATTACTTAAAAGACCTTGCCTTTTTCTGGTTTATACTAAATAACTATTTTGCAGATTTCATTTATTTAAGCAATGAGATGAAGAAACCAGTTTAATCAAGTGACGATTTCTGCTTCACTCAATGTAGAGTGATTGAAGTGGAAATGGCCTGTAGTATTTCCACATCTTAGTTTCAAGACAGACTTTCATGCATTCCTGACATCTCACATATTTCCCTCCTAAAAAAAAAATCTGTCTTTCAGCTTTTTGCACATAATTCAAGTGTTTAAGAGCTTGACAATTGAATCAAGTAGCAGGTTAGTACGACACATTCATAATTTTGCACTGGTGTTATTGGTTTATGCGTATAGTCTTCTAATGAAGAGGAAAAACAACCTTCCCATAATGTGATATTGGTTCAGTAAGAAATCCCATTAAGCTGAATAAACATCATTTTTTTTGCCTTTTTGCTTCTGTAAGCTGTAATTACAGTTTTTTAAATTTCCTTCTTAAAAGCTAAGTTTCAACACAGAAACAAATGGTTCGTGATTCATTGTTCAAAGCTGCAATGTTTTTGGGATTTCATTTCACAACCTATTTCATGTCTGGGCCACATGAAGGACAGATTTTTAAAACCATTGCCTATTTCTTTAACTTTAAAATCTTCAGTGTGTCTATGCACTGGCAAATTGAGTCACTCTCATAGAATGGGAATGAAGTTTTGAAAATTAAGTTACTGTGCTAAGAAAGCTTATTTATTGTGCCTCATGCATCTTTTAGGCTGTGTGCTTATAAATGTGTTGTGTGATAGAAATAGCTCAATCTAGAAAATTGGAATCTTGATCTTTCTGACTCTCCACTAACTTTGTGTGACCTTTAAAAGGTCTTTTATAATAGTTACTAGCATTTGGCTGGTATTTCAAAGGCCTCAAAATAATTTTTTAATTTATCTTATCTCATTCTCTATATAAACTTTTTAGTCACAATATTAGCCTCTTGCAGATTGATCTGAACCATGTGATTTTAAAGCAGAGCAGGTATTATTCCAGTTCAAGTAAAATGTGTCACCGTGAAATTATGTAACATATCATGCTCCTGAGCTAGAAGATCTGTCTATAAGCAGGGAAAATGATACCTATACAACAGTAATATATAAAGTAGTTATAAAGCCAAAGAATTCTATTTTCTTTCATTAAAAGTTGTTACAT
Source organism: Homo sapiens (assembly GCF_000001405.40). Lineage (NCBI taxonomy): Eukaryota > Metazoa > Chordata > Mammalia > Primates > Hominidae > Homo > Homo sapiens. The sequence goes on from NC_000007.14 coordinate 93,824,438, forward strand.
TCAGTTTTTATATTAAATGGAGAACAATGGCTAATTTTATAATTTGCTTCTATCAATTTTTAAATCACTTATAATTAACTGTCCCCATAATGCTCTCTGACATAGCCACTCTCTGACTCTCTACAAGAACAATAATAACCCAATCTCAGGCTTCTTTTTGTATAACATGTATTAAGGCAAGCCATATTTGCCTCACAGTGATCTATGATGATAAATTCAACCCTTAGGAAGATTTGATTACCAAAAAGATGAAATCTGGTCATATCTTTCTTAAAGTTAAATTTCATACAAAATCTAGAGAGATACACCTTAACAGATTCAGACTTGAATGCTTTGGGGTCTGTATGACTGTATTTCTAATGCCTCAAATATACTAGATGCTCAATAAGTATTTGTTGAATGAAATAAGTTACGTTTATTCTGTTAGGTTCCAGGGAAATAAACCTTTTGCTTCTCTCATTTGAGCATAGTATAGTGAAACATGGGGGATAAACGCAAATGATTCTGTATCCATGTCTTTCCTTCAATATTTTGCTTTTAAATCCCTGTCAGTGAAGATGTTAATAGATAAAGCTTAGTCTCCCTTGCCATGACTTTGATATTTATTAATATTCCAAAGCTGAAATTCTTTACATCCCAATGAAATGAAGTGACATCAATGGGAAAGGTAGACATTAATCAGTTTTTGCTGGTTTGCAAAAATGATAATTATTTATTTGAAAATAAACAAAATATTAAAACCTGGAACATTTGCTTGTTACTTCTCTCCTGTGATTGGAAAATAAATTCATTTGAGTTTCCTCTCCTTTTTTCATTTCCTTCTTCTTAGTGAAACTCCTAAACCAATAGCAAGTAAAAACTAATGAAGGGATAAGAGAAAAGTGTTAGAAATAATCTGAGTTTAGAGATTAACAGAATAGTCTCTAAAACTCTGGGTTTGAAAGCTGGCTTTGCCTGTGAAGAGCTGTAAGATCCTGAGAAAATTATTTTTTTTTCTGTAAGCCTGAATTTCATTATTGTATAAAAAAGATAATAGTGTACAACTCATAGGATTAAATGACTTAGAAAAAATGCCCTTAGACTAGCAAGAATAAATAATAGCTATCACTATTATTGAATTACAAAAAAAGACTTTAGATTAATTCCAAATGCTAACGAACTAAAATGAACTCAGTACCATCTGTGCGTTGAGATGACTCCTACTTGGGTCTGTTTTACTCAAATACTCAAGCAGTAGCAGAGTAATGAGCCTAAAGTAGAAAGATTTAGAGTTCTGCACAAACTATAGAATCACTACTTATTAAGACAGCAGAGGAGGTCATTCAACAGTCTGTGGAAGAAGAGCAAGAGTATCTTAACCACCTATTCGGCAATTAATGTTTCTATATGAATGTCAATCTGAGGGGAAATAGTACCTGCTGTTCTCATGGCTGGAGAGCAAGGGGAACAGCAGGACATTGAGCTAGCAATAGGAGGTCATTCTCCTTTAAATTCAGATGATACATTACAGTTTATTGATTGGCAAAAGCAGATTCTTTCCATCTCAAATAAAATGAGAAATTGAGCCAAAATGTCTGTATGTAAACTTCTTGAGACTCACACAATTTGTCTAATCAATTCCAACTCATAAGAGACCGAATTATTTTGTGTCTTGTATCTTTTATTATGTCTGAAGAATAAAGTTCCTTTTTTTAGAAAATAGTTTTACCTTTTTTGTTATCAATAATATCTCTAAAATGCTTTATTTAATATACCCTTATCCTTTACAAGGTGTGCTTTTTGATGGTTTTATACTTGAAATAATACCTAAATATCTGAAGAACAATTCCAAGTGGATTAGTGATAATCCTTGCAGATAATCTTTAACAATGGTATGACTTCAACAGTTTTAATTTTCATTCAGGCTTTGGCTATGTCTATGTTGACTTGGACATTTGCTTTTTGTTGTTCTGTTTATTAGTGTTGTTAGCCAACAAGTGAACTCCCTTCCTGAGTTTGGGGACTCGCAAATTGATAATTTCAGGTATCTACTTTCTCAGTATCTCCGCAGCTTATAGCTTCAGCTCAGCTAAATGGAATGGATAGTGAAATACTAATATAAACTATATAGTTATTTTATAAGATCATGAAGGATATTTGATGTAATCTAGACATTTCCTTAACAAGATAATATATGTAACATAATATGTATAAATATTATTTGGTATGTGTCTATATGTTTCTACATATTTTGAGTCAAAACCAAAAATCTTGATGAAATAATAGAAAAATTTCCATTATAGACAAGAATAAAAGTGCTTGTACACTGTGCCTGATATTACTAAGCAGTGCTTGGGAAAAATGTATAGCTGTGATACAGACGTAAAAATGTTCTATGTTAAAATACAAAAGTTTTCTCAAACTAATGATCTAAACTTTCATTTTAAGAAACTAAAAAAAAAGAGCAAACTAAATTCAAAGTAAATAATGGAAATAATAAAGGTCAGAGTGAAAATAAATGAAACAGAAATGAGAAAAACAATAGAGAATATCGATGAAACCAAAAGTTAGTTCTCTGAAAAGATCAACAAAATTGACAAAACTTTAGCTGGACTGAACAAGAAAAAAGGAAGAAAGATTTAAATTACCCAAATCAGGAATCAAATAGAGGACACCACCACTGACCTTATAGAAACAAAAAAGTATTATAGAAGATAAAATGAACAATCATATGCCAACAATTTGTATAACTAGGATGAAATGGAAAAATTCCCAGAAAAAAAAAGATGAAAAGAAAAACATCAAGAAAAACAAGCCTGTGAAACACGATGGAAGAAGAAATACAAAATCTGAATAGACCTGTAAGTAAAGTGATTGAATTAATACATTTAAAACTTTACACAAAGAAAAGCCTTTACTTGTGAATCTATCAAACATTTAAAGAATCAATACTATTCCTGAAAAAATAGAAGATGAGGGAAAACATTCCAACTTATTTTATGAGGTCAAATATCACCCTAATAGCAAAAGCAGAAAAAAGTCAGTGTAAAAAGGAAAACTGCAGAATGACATCTGTTATAAATCTTAGGACAAAAATCGTTAACAAAATGCTAGCAAACTAAATCCAACAACATGTAAGAAGGATTACACACCATGTCCAAGTGTGACTTACAAATAAAAATCAATTAATATACCATATTAATAGCATAAAAGACAAAAACTATAAAAGAATTAGCTGAAAAGATGTAGAAAAAGCATTCAGGAAAATGCACCACTTTCATGATAAAATCACTCAATAAACTATGAAAAGATGAAGTATGGGGAGTTACTTTTAATGAGCACTGTGTTTCTTTTTAGCAAGATAAAAATGTTCAAAATTAGGCTGCAGGATGGTTGCACAACTCTGAATATGCTTTAAAAAAATCAAACTGTATACTTAAAATGAGTGAAGTTTATGGTATATAAATTATATCTCAATAAAGTTGTTAAAAATAATTGACTTTCCTATTTCTAAATAGTAATTATTTAATAAACACAATGTAAGTAAAGATTTCCATATTCAAAAAAGATGTAAGAATAAACAACAAAAATGGACAAAATCTGTATGAAGAAATCTCTATGACAGAAAGTAGATTAATGTTTGACTACAGCAGGGGGTAATTTTTACAAAAAGGCACAAGGTTTTTTTTTTTTTAAGGTGATGAAAATGATCTAAAGTCAAATTGTAGAAGTACACAGCATGTAAATTTATTAAAAATCATTATATACATAAAACAAGTGGATTTTGGTATGTAAATTATAACTCAATAAACTTGAAAAAAGGTATTAAAGTCGAAGAAGTATGCTTTCCTAAGTATGACACGAACACCAGAAGTCATTTTTAAAAGCTATAAACTTAACTACACAATAAAAAAAAAGTTTGTCAAAATAATTCCGCAGTGTCAAAAGATGAACCACAAACTGAAAAAGAGGTTTTACAATGTTGTCTCAGTTAGGATTAAATGCAAGAAACAGAAACTACTTGAGGACTGTTAAGAAGAAAGTGAATTTTCAAGATGACATCAACCTAACCGAAAGCAAATATCTACAGACAATCCCCGAGTTATGAGGGTTCTACTTACTTTTTTTTTTTTTAGTTTAAGAGCTTGCAAAAGTAATATGCATTTAGTAGAAACCGTACTTCTAGTATTGAAACAACCATTCTGTTTTTCACTTTTAGTACAGTATTCAATAAATTACAGGAGATATTCAACACTATTGTAAAACAGACTTTGTGTTAGATGGTTTTGCCTAATGGTAGGCAAATGTAAATGTTCCAAGCACATTTAAGGTAAGCTAGTAGGCTAGGCTAAGTTGTGATGTTCAGTAGGTTAGGTGTGTTAAGTGTATTTATGACATAATATTTTTAACTGACAATGGGTGTAATAAAGCCCCGTAAGTCAAGGAGTATCTGTACTTCACAAGGGGAAGTAGTGGAATTTATTGATCTGGGGCATGGGGTACTAGAAAAGCAACCACAGTATGAATTTAATACAGGTGGTGTATTTATTTTTCAGTTTTGGAAAGTTATGTAGTCACCTTCCTCCTTTCCAGCCTAGACCAGAATACTAGGTCAAAGACTAGAGGAGAGGGTTATATCACTTGGAAAACGGTAATTGTCAGAGTATCACAAGACATAACACTAGTATTCAATGATAAGTTATGTCTATATAATGAACATATATTGTAACATAGAACAATCACTAGAAAATCATAAGAGGTATATTCAAAGACACTATAATCAAAAGGGAACTTTAAAAAATGTTTTCAATGTATTAGGAACAAAATAATGAAAAACAAAACAAACAAAAAAATAAAATTTAAATGGCAAATTTGACCTCTAATATATAAATAATTACATGATATTTAGATTGTCTAAATATACTAATCAAAAGACAGAGATGGTCAAAGTGGACTACCTTCATTGCTGGTGGGAATGCAAAATGATACAACTACTCTGGAAAATAGTTTAGTGGTTTTTTGTTTGTTTGTTTTTGTTTTTTTTGTTTGTTTGTTAAGATCCAGCAAATGAACTTCTGGGCATTTTCCCAGAAACATGATTATTTATGCCCACAAAAATAACTGTATGTAAATGTTTATAGCACCTTTATTTGTAATAGTCAAAAACTGGAAACCATGCTGGAAACCATTCAGATATCCTTCCTTGGGTGTAAGGTTAACAACCTGTGGTACATCCATCACATTGAATACTACTCTCAATAAAAAGGAATAAACTGTTGATACATTCAAAAACCTGGATGAATATTGGGAAGAATATGCGGAGTAAAAACAGCCAGTCTCAAACGGTCGCAAAAAACCAAGGCATAATTCCACATATATAGAACATTTGTGAAATGACAAAATTATAAAATGGAAGACACATTTTTTTTCCATTATTTAAGAAGGAATGGGGTCGTGTCTATAAAAGGTCAGCATGAGGGATCCTTGTGGTGATGGAAATGTTGTATATCTTGAATATATTAATGTTAATATCCTGGTTGTAATACCATATCAGTTTTTCAAAATGTTACCACTGAGGAAGACTGGCTTAAGGGAAGACTGATCTCTCTGTACTATTTCTTACAACTATATGCTTATCTCAATCGCAAAATAAAAATTGTAATTAATCAATGTGTGTGCTGGATTCCATTATTTCTGTTTAAAAGTTACACTATCTTATACATTGAGCTTTTTTTAATGTAGTAAGTAAACAGTTTTTCTTGCCCAGTTTTTCTTGCCCAGTTTTTTCTTGACTCAGTATGTCAAAAAAAAAAAGGCTGAGAGCAAACATATGACTGTTTTGTAGTAAGTACTCTGGAAAATGTCTGAATGATAAGTGTGGATACACATGAGGAATTAAATTACATTTTCCAGACTAACAAAAATATAATCTTGGGCTTGAATGATAAATTCACTGGCCAGAGAAAGAATAAGAGACAGGCTAGCTTAAGCAATGGGAGTTGGCATGTGTCAAGTTTCCTGGGATCTTCAAGGGTTCCCTAAAAGACTATGGGCAAGATACTGAGTGGGTTTCTAGAAATGATTGAAAAAATAAAAAAAAAACAGGGCAAGAACCCAAAATAATATGAGTCACAATGTGAATATAAAAATGGCCTTAATAAGGAAGATCCTATTTTTAAAAGGGAAGAAAGAAAGAGAGAAAAGAAAGAAAGAGAGAGAGAGAGAGAAAGAAAGAGAGAGAGAGAAAGAAAGAGAGAGAAAGGAAGGAAGAAAGAGAAAAAGAAAAAAAGAAAAAAGAAAGAGAGAAAGAAAGAGTAGAAGTGACTAAGTAGTAAATGAAACAGAACTAGAACTGGAATTTAGATTTTCTTAATGCTACTAATAAAGCCTATTTTCAATTTTTCTTTTAAGTATTTTTCTCCAAAAAATCTACTTTTAATGTAATTTACTCAGGTGTAACGCATTTCCAAATTTTCTTCCATGCTTTTCAATTTTTTTTTTTGGTCATTACCTTTCCATCCTCAATTCTGCCACTCTTCTCCAGGCCAGGTGACCTACTTCTATGACTCCTACTTCCATGAAATAACTGTCAATCCCTTCTTGATGGTATATTCTGTTTGAGTTGTCTGAAAGCACTATGCCTTCAGATCTCCCAAAGTGGCAAAGATAAGTGTTCTTTTCAAGTGATGACCTTGTGAATTCCTGCCTGGCTAGATTCTTGACCCAGTGTCTTTCAAAATAAAACTTATTCTGTGTTGAAATTTTTAAAAGCATAATTATCACTTATTTATTGGAATCTAATCTTAGAATTAAATCACTTCTGTTTGGGGGTGGTGAGTTTTGCTAAACTGAATGAGCTATGATTAGACCTATGAAATACAAATCCTACCTATACATAGAATTAAGAAGTATGGTTGAAATTATTTTTGAAAATACAATCTGCAAAATTACTTCAGTCTTCAGCTAATATTTCAAGTCCATTTTGAGTTAGATTAATTAACTTAAATTTAAATAAAAATGCATCCAGAGCTGCTGTGCAAGTAGCCGAAATGCATGAATATTTTTTAAAAATGTAATTAAGAAAGCAAAATACAGGATTTGGTGAGGAATGAAAATACCCATATTCCTAAAGTTGTAAGGATGAATAAATTGAATAATTACTTTCTAGTATTACATGAATCTTGGGTATTTTCAAGAGACCAACCATTTGGCAATCCATAAATTTTCTAGCATCAACGATGCTCAATATTTCCCCCAAAATAGTTCATGACTCATTACAATTTGTTACTATGATCACCAATGACGGGGGAAAAGGGTTAGGAAGTTAATAACCTGTCCAAATAATAACAATTAGATTATCCTCCTGTGTTGCTAAATCACACTGCATGGTGGTATGTTAGATCCAACTAATACAATAAATGAATCACTTGCCATCTAATGCAACTATACCAAAGAGGTCACTTGAAATTTGTCAGTTTTCAAACACTAAATTCAGTTTTTCTTGTAAGTTCCTGAGGAAATTAGCAAAGGACAAAATTGTATTTTTGGTTTCTTCCCCTTCTACACTGATTGCACCTTCTGGTTTTTTCTTTGTTGGCCCTTCTTTGTGTGAGCTTCCTTATCAGTAGCCCTTACCCCACACTAACCCCCCATCTTCAGAATGACTAGGTTACAGTAATTGCTGTGAGAAAATACAAAAATGAGCCATGTGTGGTGGGGCATGCCTCTAACCCCAGCTACTTGGGAGGCTGAGGCAGGAGAATCTCTTGAATCCGGGAGGCGGAGGCTACAATGAGCTGAGATTGCGCCACTGCATTCCAGCCTGGGCAACAGAGTGAGACTCTGTCTCAAAAACTAAATAAATAAATATCCAATTTTTTTTGTTAATTTAGCCTAATTTATCAGAGTAGCAGAATGTGCCTTAGGCATTAAAATGAACCTGGTTTATGGAATATAATGCTGAAAGCAATAACATGATTTAATTATTCCAATTCTAGTTCTATGTCATCTCTGCTAATTAACTCAAATCAGAGGGGCTAAGTTAATGTAAAACAAACAAAATATAAATATACATATCCCTTACCTCCATCTCCAAAATAGAAGGAAATAATATTTCTAACTTCTTCAAGATTCCATAACATTCCACAGATATTCACATAATTTTCTTCTATTATGTGTAAGAAAAGAGTAATTATTCCTATATAATATATGCTTCTACTAAATCACTGCAACTTAGATTCTGCACATAAAACAGCCTATTCTTTCAACCTTATTACTCTCTAAGTATGTTCAATAGATCAGAATCTATCTTCAGAAGAACCATTCAATTAACAGTCTCACAAAAAGGATGAAAGCCAAAGAAAATTTGCAGCAATCATTATTGTAAATTACTGAGAGAAGGAGTTTAGAGGTTAGGAGAGGGGACTGTATATTGAGATATTAGTCTTTATCGAGCCACTATTGAATTTGTACATCAGTTAACCTCTTCAAAATCCAGTTTTCGCCTCTATAATGAAGAGAATAGATTGCATATTTCCTCTAAAGTCTTGCTTTCCATCAAAAGAATCCATCTCTAATGCTGAACTTGAAAAAGCTGACCAGAAGAATATGTCCAGTTGGTATCTTCATTTAGCAGCAACTTTATTTTACTGTTGTTGAGATCCTCTATCATATTCTTAAAGGGAAGATCTTTGAAAGAATTAGAATGTTTTTCCCTCCAAACTCAAATAAACATCTGCAAAGCCATCTATTCTCAGCAGATAACAACAAACATACAGTATTTTTAAAATTAAACTTTGGGTATGTTGGCCACCTGTGACTTTGATTCACATTCTGTATATTTGCAGCAGCTGACTTGAGTTATAACCAAAATCTGAATATGAGCAATAGCCAGAAAAGGCAGGTTTGTCAGTCTATGTCCAATGTCACCATTGTATGCATTTTCAAATCAAACCCAGTAATGCCAATGCTGCTCTTCTGAATCTCAATAGAGTCTTGTCAGAATCTAGACAAGAGTCCCTGATTTGTGCTCCATATGTACCAGTACCAAATAGGGCGAACTTTAAGTAAGTATGGAAATGTTTTCCATATCTTTTCTGAATAGCAAGAGAAAATAGAGCAAACACAGTAACTGACAACGTGCTATGTATAAAGGAATTCTTTTTCGGGGAAGAATGCTTCATAGTTGGTACTATATGCTTCATAATGCATCACTTCAGGAGGCAAACAATGTCTCATTTTAGTGATATGAAGACTGATCAAAGAGTTCATCTCAAGACAGCATGATAATTCCATTAAATTTTTCATCAATTTTATATGAAGTGTTACTTTTCATTTAAATCATAATCAATTATTTTATTTATTGCCAAATGGCATTTTTATAATTCCATCATTCTTTTCATATTTACCAACTGGAAGCCTTCGATAAAGAGCATTTCTCATCAGTTAGACTGTCTATTTACCCTTAATTGCAGTTTATATAGGAAAAGAACAGGAAATTCTTAATTTGTTCTTTCTAACCACCAATTTTGAGGGCAAAATATTGATGTCCAAATTACCTCTATAGTACTCAAAGTGTTGATGTTTATTATTGCTACGTATTGTTGTTTATGATTTCAGCACCTTTAATATTGTTATGAATTCATGGTCAATCATAAAAAACTTCTATAAATTATATTTACTATTTTTTCTCCCATACATTGCCCCATCTTCGGCCAATTAATACAATGTGTTGAAACACATTGAAAAGTATCTTTAAAGTCACTCAAAATCATTTTTTTCTGTGAAATAATGCTACCAACCTGATGTACAATTAGCTTCATTTACTTCTGTTTCAATTTTTAGTTATTTATTTTTATTAATTTGATTTAATGTTATTTTTTAAAAATAAAACATCTAAATTTTCAGAATCAGATATATATATATATATAAAACAAGGTATAATCAGAGAAGTCTCATTTGCATTCCTTTCCCTCCTTCCCATTTCTTACAAAAGTAGAGCAAATGATATAAACTCTTCTGACATTTTATTTGTTCAGATAACAAGAAATCCTGGAGATCACTCATGTCAATATATAGAAATCTTTTTTATTCTTTGATGCCTGCTTAGTATTTTATTGAATGGATGTAGCATAGATTATTCACCAGTCCTTAATTCAAGAACATTTGAGGTTAACCTTTTGCATTTATACATATGCTACAAATAATAACTTGTGCTTAAGTCATTCTGGCCAATTTTTGTCAATTTTTTGAAAACAATTTCTAAAAATTAGATTAATTAATCAAAGGGTAAATACATCTACAATTTTACTGAATACTGCCAAAGCATTGTCCATTAAGGGCTGTAGCATGTTGAAACCCCATCAGCAATATATGATAGTTTCTGCTTCCACCTGTCCTCCTGAACAGATTTACGTGGCTTTTTTATTTTTGTAAATCTAATGGGTGACAATTAATATCTCATTACAGCTTAAATTCTTATTTACTTTATTATGTATTAATCTGGGCACTTTTTCATAAGCCCAATAATCTTCTTTTAAGAAACAAATATTTCTTATTGTATGCTCTATTTACATCTTTTCCCCTTTCCTTAGGGAGTTGGTCTTTTCCCTTTTGATTTACAGGAGTTCTTTGTACATGACATTAATGGAAATGTCTTTAGTAATTCTTTAATTTATCCTTTGTTTATAGAGATTTTCTGTGTTTTATTTTGTGTTTTTTAAAATAAAAATCTATTAATCGTTTCTCTCATTATTCTTTATGTTGCCATGATTAGAAAATATTTCCCACACCCAAGTTACAAAGGAATTCATCCATATTTTCTTCTAGTTATATGTGACATTCATTTTATTATGTTGACATCTGTGGTCTTTATTGTAGAATTTATCCTAGTATGGAAGTGAGATATGAAGATGTTTTTATCTTTCTCAAATGACTAACCAGTTACACCAGCATTGATTACAGTCAATCCCAGTTTTCATGGATTCAGTATGTATGGATTTAAGTTTACACAGTTTAGTTAACACTGTCCCCCAATAACATGGCTAAAGTTTCCGTTAACACAGTATATTAGCTGTAATTACATAAAGTACAAGCTTTGCTGCTAGCTTACAAGCTACTATATAAATAATAGAAGTACATCAAGAGATGCACATCTTGATCAGTGACAAATCACACTACTTCTTTCAAAGGCTGTCAATAATTGGTCACTGTACATCTATTATTAGGTTCAAATACAACAGCAAAATGTATAGTTGTGCTACCCTCATGTCTTCTTCTATTGATAAGTCCTGGTGATATTTTACAAAAATGGATAATTGAGAAAGAATTGGCCAACAAGGATGAAAATGAGATAGAAAAGTGAAAATGCTGTAAGTAAATTTGAATCAAACATAAATGGAGTTATAGAAGAAATAGCTGACTGTGGGAATGGTGACATTTCTGTCAGTTGAGAGATTTCACATACACAGCCAAAGGTATTTGATGACATAAATGACTAATATCATTGTGATGAAAAGTATGAAAATGTACCAAAAGAACTGATGCCAGAAAAGGAAAATCACATTAGAACTCTCAGCGATATTTTGTAAGTTATATGCCAATAAGAAGAAGCTTAACACTGTTAAAAACTACTCTTGATAAATGTTTATAAAGAAATTCAACTTTCTCAATGTTTCTAATGTCTTAAGTTAGTGTACTAAATAAATATTGCTTTTACTATTTTTTATTCCTTGGTACACTTATAACCCACATTAAGAGAATTTTTAATGCTTTGAGAAAAATACTTTTAAAAACCATGCAAAAATTATCCTTTTCCCACTGACTACTAAGATTGCTTTGTTTGATGTTAGCTTCAACAGTCGTTTTTAATGTTCCCTACTACCGTGCAAAGTGAAAGCTGCTTGTATCAAAAATTCCATCTTTTCCCCAGGGATTTGCAATGCCTGTTTATATAACATACTACATTTCTGCATGTATTTGAATATGTCGTTTGAATTCCTATTCTATTCCATTGTTCTGTTTCCTCACGCATCAACACATATTTTAAATTATAAAAGCAAGCTCACTGACATTGTTTTTTTTCTTTTTCAAAGTTTCTATGGCTATTCTTCACAAATAATCTTGTTTCATAATATAAAGACATTTTTACTTCTTCCTTTTCAATCTTTCTGCTTTTTATTTTTTTCTCCTTGTCTTGTTATAATGGCTGTGAATTCCGGGATAGTATTAAATAGAGGATGAGAGTAAGCATCCTTGCCTTGTTCCTAATATTAAATAAAAAGTCTTCAATATTTCAGTATTAGGTATGATGTTAACTATAGAACCCTCTTCCCCACTGCCCATGCTTGTTCTTTATTACATTAAAAAGTTTCCATCTTTACTTAGTTTGGTGAGAATTTTTATTATGAACTGTTGTTACTGCATGAATTGCTGTTATCATGGCTATTATTGCTTGCTTGTTTTGCTATATCAATTTAATAATCATTTCTAGTTTAAAACATTTCCAGAATTCTGTTAGAATTATGTTAATTTATAAATTAGCAGTAAATGCATATATTTATGATGTTGAATCTTTAGTTGGAAACATGATAATTTAATCTTTTTAAAGTACAGTGTGTAATTCTCAGTAATGTTTTAAAGTTAAGGCTTTTTAAAGGTATTGTTATGTTAAGGCTTTAACCAGGTTTTTAACTATTTTTCTTTTTTAACTATTTTTGCTTGCTATTATAAATGAGACTTTTCTCGTATTTCTAACAGGCTATTGCTTGTATACATAAAGACTAATAATTTCTAACTGCTAATTTTATAACCTTCTCCTTCACTAAGTTCCCATAGATAAAAACAATTTTTTTCATAGATTCTCTTGGATTTTTGAAAAGTTCAATCATATCATAACAGCTGTTAATAATACTAGTTTTATCTCTTGCTTTTCACTATTTGTCCTTTAACGGATTTCTCTAATTGCATTGGATAATAGCTTCAATGCCATGTTAAGCAGATGTGCTGATAGTGGGCTCTCTTGTCTTTTGTTGGAAAGTCTCTAGTATTTCCCCATAAAGTAATATGCTGGATTCTGAATTGCGTGTAAAATTTGTAGAAAATGTCGTCTGAGATTTTTTTTTTTCTGTTACTTATAGTTAATCAATTTTGTTTTAAGGAGATTTTTAAAAACAACTACTACCAGAGTCATATCACAGAAATTCCTCAAAGGTTAATATCACAGAAATTCCTCAAAGGTTAAATAAATGATTTAGTAAGAGAAGCAGAGGAACACACACACACACACGCACACAGAGAGAAAAGCGTGCACGCGCGCGAGAGATATATTAGTGAGGAGATAGCTTGCAGGAAGGAAACAGAAAAAGAGGGGTTATTCCGTCTATTAATCAAAGATAATAACAAATGGAGTACTGTTAATGTGTGCACCATCAGTTAATGCTGGAAGAAGCAGCATGAGAGGGAAATTTCCAAACCAAATATGAAGAACTTCATTGGGAAAATCAAATAAGAACTAATATTCAAAGTTCTGTATTTAGATTAGTCTAAGAGCCCGTTTGATGCACTAGGTAACCTAGAGATAAAATTGACCATATGTGAGGGGGAACTCCAGTCTTTCATCCTTGGAGACATATTCTAGGCTCAGTTGAAACTTGATAATGAATAAGTTATTTTAAATCAACTAAGAAGAGACTACAAATATTAATTTTCTATTTGTTCAACTCTGCAGCTATTCAATCTGGATAATTTTGCCATCTCACACTCAATACCTCAAACTTAGTAGAAATGCTTTCTTCTTCTAACTAAAACTCCTAGTTCTAGTTTCTAGTTCCTTCCTTCAAACCGTTTTAGAAGATACATGACATCTGCCATGCTAATCATCAAAACTCTCATTCATAAAGGGATGGCAAATATTTTAAAGGCACGTGTAAAACAAAATGGGTTTATGATCAAATCAGAAATTTTCTCCTCTCCATAATCCCTGCTGGGTTAATAATCCTACTAAATCAAGGATTTGTGTGACAATAAAAGTTTATATTGGTTTGAACAAACACCCAAGTCATTCTGAGATCCAGCTGCACCACACCTCAGTCAAGCAGGTTGCTGTTCATTGCCTCATATGAGCGGATGTACCCAAAGAGGAGAAAAACATACAATCTCTCCCCTATCATGCTGTGTCAAATGTATTATCAGTGCCTTCTGCATTTTCCTAAATTCAAGATTGCAGGTTGCATTACAACTCCTGTTATACTGTTTGACTTTAGTTAATTTTTTATAATTTGTAAGTAAGTTTTGGAAATGCTGATTTTGATCATTGAAATTTTCCCTTTGCATTTTTATGTATGGGCATGATATGGATTCAATCATAAAATTATTTTGCTTTGCTTGAGGGAAGTAGTATTATATGTATATATCTATATAATAATTTCAACAGAGAATTTTGCTTTGAATACTGTATAGACCAGCTTGGAGATATGGAAATAATACCTAAGAATTGAGATGTGTGAGTATCTTTTTTGATTGGATACTAAAGCCTCTGCCTACCAGTCATCTACTGTGACTACTAGATGTTTGGAGAAAGCCAAGCAAGTATGCAAGCAAACTTTGTTTTCACCTGTAAGCCATGTAAACCAGGGGGATGGCTTCTCCTGGGATTGTCTCTTCAAGGACTACTTTGCAGATGCAATAATGTTTGCCAGACAACTGCTCCTGAGAGCTAAGTTTTAAAATCTTTTCTACTTTCTATTTTTGTTTTGTGGAAAAGATCCAGACAGCCAAATATTTGTGCTGGAATTATTTCCTTGTCCTGCTCCGGCTGAACACAAAAGCCAAGAAAACATTCTATTTGCTTGCTCCAAAGGAAACATATATAGATGACTAAATGGCAGGCACTGAGCTATATGAAAAACAAAGCAGTTTATGTGACAAAGGAGAGAGTGAGACAAAGAAAAGAGTAAGAAAATAAATCTTTGTCTCACTATTTCACTTGAAGACAATATTAAATACTCAACATTTTTAAACCTTCCTATTAGTTTTAGGTGACCACCTTTGCAAGAAAATATAATATTTCTGTGTTCTCCAATACACATTTCTATTTTAGTTTGAGATGGTAGAAAATACAACCACGAGCTAGTAGAACACCCTCCCATTCCCCCAACCCCCACCCAACAAACCAGCAACAACAATAACAAGAAACGATTTTCATATACACAATGTTCAGAACTGTTAGATAAATATTCCAATTTTGAGCTCTAAGTACACAGATGCTATTATCCTCTGATTTGAAGAGTAAATATTTTTCCAAACTGTCTTATTTGAGAAAGAAAATTACGATATAGATGCAATTTTGTGCTTACATCATTCTACACTGTTTGAAAATAATAAAAATAGCCTGTGTTAGGAATTTTTTAACCTTCTACATCAAGTTCGATGCCTTTCTTTGTAAGTACCTTATTAAATAAAATAAAAGCCTCTGAGATCCAGGGAATGACTGATCTAGGCTTGGGGAAGGAGGATCATGAGGGTTGCTGATGAGATTGCTTATCAAGAATACTCTCCCTATTTGGAAACTGCCAACATAACTATTGGTAGGACATCTCCAACTACATGCTCAAGATTTTAACGAGTGAGGTCGGTGTGAAGAAGTGTGAAAAGCACCTCCCAGATAAAATTGAAAATGGAGGAAATCCTTCAGGATGAAAGACAGAACATTACAAAAAAAAATGAAGAATTCTCTCCTTCCTCTAAACAACTAAGGCACTACATTAGATAGGAGTGGTGCAGGGACAAAGAAATGCTATGTAGGATTTTATATGGGAAAAAGGAATTTCAGCTATAGTAATTGGGAAACCACTGGATTAGATAGTATATGTGGTCTCTTTCAACTGTACAGTTCTGTGATGTAGGTATTATATGAGCAGAATGTTTACTGCAGTATTATTCATTATAGTGAAAACTATTGTGCCCTAGGCAGAACATCATGATTGTCAGAATAATATGAACATGTACATGCTTATCGTCTAGGCTTTTCATATGGTTAGACATAAGTGTCCTCTTCATTGGCCCTTGTCAGCCTCAAGCCCTTTGCCTGGGAGGTGTCTGGTTTTGCTGAGAGCCCAGTAATTTTCCAATGGGAAATTTTCCTCTTGGGTAAGCAGCCCCTGATTGATATCACCAAGTCACATCATCTCTCAGAAACATTGTTTCAATGGGAAAGAATTTGCAGGAAGGAGAGAAATTAAACAAATGACTAGCCTAATAATATTAAAATCTTAAAAGCCCACAGAAAAGGAAAATAGACCAATCAAGAAAATGCCATGATGGTACTGTTTGAGATTACACGGAAGTCTGATGGCCTGATGTCCTAACATCCTAACCCAGGCAATCACCCAAAGCAGCAGTTAATTAATAGTTGTCAATATGAAGTGAAAATCTAGCGACAGAATTTTGTCTATTTTAATGGACACCTTACATTTCCTTTTCTTCAACCAGGCATGGTTCCTGTTTTTTGCAGGGGGAAATTTGGTCATCCACAGACTAATACTTCGTGAAATTATACCCGTCAGACTTTATTTGGAAACAGGATCTGTCAATCTTGCTTGTGATTTTTATGCTTACAGAGAATCTTCTGCAGAACCACACTCTTCATTCTATTAATGACAGATTCTAACAGGTGTTATTTTCTTGTCAAACTTTTCATTCCTCTCGTGACTGTTAGACAGAGACCACTTCCAAACTCAATTCTGAAGATTCACAGTTTGTCTTCTATTTTTCCACCCTCTCCTCTCCCTACTCCCACATGAATCTTCAGATTCCTTTCTGAAGTGGATATTCCGACCTTAAACCTTCATTCTATGTCTTTCTATTGTCCCAACTTCCTACAGACATTTTGCAGTTTGTATTCTTTCTGTCTCCATGTTAAAAATTTCTTTTCCTTCATAACCCTAAACATGATGTATTAGGTGACACCCTTCTGATAGTAGTTAATTCTTTATAAAATATTAATGTCTTTCTTTTCCCAGGCTATAAACATTTTCTAACCTAGACTCGTGACTTTAATTATGGGAATGACAGCCTCAGTGGCATTCAGGTAGGAAAATACTTTCAAAAAATCACTAAAACTATTCACCCAAAGTTGTGATGGACCTTCTTAAGGTTATATTTGAGATTTTTCTCCCCTGTAGGAATCTATCATGTAGAATAACTTTTCTACTAAACCATTTTTATAATTTATAGAGTGTTTCTTCCCAAATTGAATAAGTTATTTGGCAAATATCTGGTTTATATATAATGATGATAAAATATTGATTTGGGTGACCCTTCCTAAAATGGACTTTTGTCCCAAATTATCCAACTTGGTTGTACTCACACCTGAATTTTTTACCCAAAGTGCAAGACTTTTCTTCACTTTTAGCATTATAATGTGGCTTGTGCAGTTTTGTTATTTTTTTTTTTTTTTGGAATTTAGGCTGCTACATATTTGCTAATATGCCTTATAAGAATGTGGTCATGCAAAGTAATAAGTCTACTGAAAGATTTCCAGGTTGCCATGAACAAGAGGCATTGCCTGTGTATGTACACAGGCAACACAGCTTGATCTAATCTCATTAAATCCACTCTGTAAGGAGGAGTTGTTGCATCACTGCCTATTAGCCTCTCTTAATTTTCATCAGACACACACTGGTAACAATTGTTGGCATAAAAAATTCCCCAAAGCAAAAAGTCTATTCTGTAGGTATAATTTCATTAGGAAGTTACATGTAAAACAACAAAATCGTAACATATGTTCTATTATTTACTAACATCCATTTGAATATTTCATCCGAATAGTTCAAAGTGTTTAAACAGTTTTAAAATAGATAGAAGTCAAATTTCCCTTAAGAAATCTATTTTAAAATATTATGAGCACATGTCTGGTGTGTTTACAAGGAAACTAAGTTATAGTATCTACTAGTTAATTGATCTTAAATTTGATGTATATCTTATCATATCAAAGGTAAATTGAAAAATGAATATATAACTAGTTCATCTTTTTATCTTTGGATAAATTTTTCTCTAGACTCGTGACTAAAAAATAATTTTCATGATTTTTGCTCAGTCTGTTTATTAGGGGACTTAGTACCCTTACAAGTGATTTACTCAACATGGACAATTATGTATATCTTAAGCATTCCTATTCACATATGTTCTGGGACTTTCTGAAAGATAACCTCATGCCATGTTAATTAGACCAAAATTTAAAATCCCACCAGAAACATAATGTCATGTTCCCAAAATTCATCTCATTTTCTTTCTTGGAGTATGTACAAAAAGACTTACCATGCTTCTACATGCAGTAATGAGACTTTTAGACAAACTAATCTTCAGTTGTTTGTTCTTGGTGTCTAAGGCAGCTTTTGTCTAGAAAACTATTAACCTCTTTCAGCAGTCCCAGTAATGCTTCAATCACTCTTGGAAGGCTTAATATGAACATAACTCTGTGTGTGTGTGTGTGTGTGTGTGTGTGTGTGTGTGTGTGTGTGTGTGTTTGTGTGTGACTGATTCCTTCAAAAATATTAAAAAATCATTAAGTTGCTTTGTAGGAAGTTGGATGAGAAGCAGCTCCATGAGCCTCCGGAAAGCACAGTGATCTCTTCAGAGGGGATTATAGTGTACTCCCTTCTGATATTACGTAGCAATTTATATCTCTTTCTCTTTGGCACTGCTATGTAATTTCCACTGGAATTAGATTTACAAGTTAGTTATTTAGATTATTTTGGTGGTATACAATTAATTTTTTTTATGTTCTCTTGTTTTTGGTAATTTTTGTTCTTTGATTTTTTTGGATTTGTGGATGCTGATCTAAGTTAACTCCTATAGTTATCAAAATTCCTTAGGATAATGTGGTAATCTCCTTGCTGCATTTTGCATTCCTCTTCTTCAATTTAGGGTAACTGGCCCTTGAGAATAAATGGACACGAAGCTTTTAGGTATTTTTCCACCTCCTTGCATTTTCTTTAGCCTTGAGTTCAACCCAAATTTTGCATTTGGTTTGGTCTTTAAAGTATTTTGCATTCTTGGGTTAGGAAGACTGTGAATGCTGAATAATGACTCACTCTCCTATATTCAGGCTTAAAGTATTCCAATTAACTTCATCTTGAAAAGACAGAAAGTGCACAGCAAGGAGATTTCTAGATCTCCAGAAAAATCTTCAACCTCTGCATTGACTCAGTATAGCCATCTGTAATGAACTAAGGTTCAGAATTTTAAAAAACATGGCAAGGCCAATTCTAGTTACTGGGTAAAGCATATAACTTTCTGGAAATATAAAGGCATGACTCCATGGCTATATCTTAGGGTGATACGTACACTTATGAGATTTGTCATTATAGCTATTAGAGAACTCCCAAAGGAAATCTCTATAATGAGTTGTTTTCTATGCTGTGAGTGTATTCAGAGAAGAATAATTTACTCCTTTGGGATGTTTCTGGAAACTTTCCTACACTTTACTATTATGGCAACCACAACAGTTATTATAATTTTGTTCTTTCTTTTCTTTGGGGCTGCCATCTTTTGCTCACCCAATATTGTCAGAAATAGCAATTGCACTTTTATGTCTTTGTTTCATAATTTTGTCTTCAAAGCAGATTCAAAGAAAAAATAGACGTAGAATTTTCTCTTGCCCAATAAGTCTTTCCCATCCAATAAAATAAATAATGCTACTACTCCCTTGATATGCTGTGTAAATCAACTTCAGAAAATTATATTATCATCTTAGACATGAAATTATGAAGCACAAAACAAGACCTGTTTTAAGGAAGAGGAACTAATTATATACAAGGATGTGCTTGAAAGTAAGCAGCAATCATGAAAAGTTGTTTGTGTGTTGCAATCGAATCCTTCTCAGTTTCAATGAATTTAGAGTTTATTGGCACCCACATAATTTACTCTGGAGATAATGATATAACAAGCAAACCATTTTATTTTCTCTTTCTTAGCTGAGTGAATATAGTTAACAAAAAAATTTTATCTTAACCATAGAAAGAGTCTGAGAATGAAATTTCTCTTTTCCCCAAAAGATGTTCAAAACCTGAGATATTGAAAGAGAAAACCCGATTATTTCAAATTAGTTGTTTTCCAAAAATTAAATAATGGGTGAATGGTTGATTTTAGGATACACAAGATGGTATGTTACAAGGATTAGTCGTTTTTGTCAGCTTTGCTATTTTTAGAGTGGCTTAAATTAAGGTATTGAATATAATTCTTACAAATGATGGCACAATATTAAAAGACCAGTTAATTTCATAAGATATTATAAGAATTCTCAGTTTCGCCGGAGGTTTACTGTGTCGGTGTTCCCTTGCGCGGCGTGAATCTGAGGGCATCGTGTTGAGGAGATGGGGGCTGCGGTGACTCGCGGGATCAGGAATTTCAACCTAGAGAACCCAGCGGAACGGGAAATCAGCAAGATGAAGCCCTCTCCCACTCCCGGTTACCCCTCTACCAACAGCCTCCTGCAAGAGCAGATTAGTCTCTATCCAGAAATTAAGGTAGAGATTGCTCGTAAAGATGACAAGATGCTGCCATTTCTAAAAGATGTATATGTTGATTCCAAAGATCCTGTGTCTTCCGTGCAGGTAAAAGCTGCTGAAACACGTCAAGAGCCAGAGGAATTCAGATTGCCCAAAGGCTATCACTTTGATATAATAAATATTAAGAGCATTCCCAAAGGCAAAATTTCCATTATAGAAGCATTGACTTTTCTCAATAATCATAAACTTTATCAAGAAACATGGACCGCTGAGAAAATAGCGCAAGAATACCATTTAGAACAGAAAGATGTGAGTTCCCCTCTTATTTTGTTACTTTTGAACTCAAAATCTTCCCTCATGAAGACAAGAAAGCAATACAATCAAAATGAAGAAAATCGCAAAAATTTCCTATGTGTACTCCTCATCCCTCATCCTGTATATTATCTCATTTTTTGCATGTTAAATTATGTTAACTACCAAATGTTTAATTCTCTCATTGTGAGAGCATATTCTTAATATTTATTGAGCTTCCTGACTTTTCAAGATTGCCATAGAATGTATTTTGTTTTCTTTTAATTTGGTTTGGGCATATTTCATATGTACATGTCAGCATGACTAATCAGCACATCTGTACATTTATTATAAGTAAAAGAATTAATTTGTTATTTTAGGCACATCATACCAACTTTTAAATTGATCATATGACCCCTTGGGAAACGTCCCTGAATCCCTCATTTAAGTTTTACTTTCCAAGTTAGGTGTTTAGTTCATTCTTCATATGTGATAGTGAAAGTAAAAGCTTTCCTGACTCTTAAGACTGACATTTTCTTGTTAGGGAAAGAGATACAATAGAAAGGTAGACTAACAGTATTTCCCAAATAAAGGCACACAGTAGAAAGCAATGAATCTATAGAATCTAGTTAAAATTACTACTCCAGGGAATAAGAAGTACTGAGGATTTATTTTATTTTGAATTGGTTTTAAGTATAGAATAATTGTCTTTACAGTTATAAAAGGTAATTAGCGATATTTGCAAAATGTTGAAAATTTCTGCTTCAACAAACAAATAGGTAAGTCCCATGGCCTTCAGAGAGGCAGGCAACAGCAGAAATTTTCGAAAAAGTAACATTTTTCTGGATTTAACATGGAAATAGAAAAATTTAAAGAATAATTAAATCCAAAAACCATGGTAAATGAAATTTGGTGATTATATATAGTTTCGGATGTTAATGCTAGTTGAGAGAAGAGAGAACAAATAGCAAGTAGAAGCAGAGAAGAGGATCACTGGAAGGGACCTGAGAAATTGCCACTTCATCCATTTTAGCAAACTTATTAGCACGGCATGTATCAGTCCTGGGATCTGCGTGAGAGTGTGTGAGTTTAGCTCCGCCTATGACATTACTACTTGTGGGATCTTTGGCAGACTATATCCTCTTTAATATTGAATTTCTTCTTTAAAACAAGAATAATGCTACCTTACTTAAATTTAAGGGTTATCACGAAGATAAATGAAATAGTAAAGGACTACAAAGGACCAAGCAAATATGAATTTTTTTTTTGCAGTGGAGAAACAAGCACCTGGGGAGAATATATGACATAAGGTTTCTGTAGTTTATGACCTAACCAGGCCCAAAACTTAGTTTCTCAAATCCTGGTAGTGTGTTTTTTTCTTTTGTGCCTAAAAGCAGCACACCTCAGAGAAGGGAAAAGGTATAAATTGTGGTATATTGGGGTTGTCAGTGCTTCTGAGGGAAGATAGGCATCATTACTTCCCAGAGATGCCCCTGGAAATGATATAGAAGATGCTGAGGAATTCAACATGATGACGGAATGAGGCATTTGTAGTAATGCTGAGAACAGAAAAATAGACTAAGTGGAAAATGTGTAAGCATGTCTTTGAATGTAGATTTGTTATGTGAACAAACTACTAGTTAATTTTTAGTTCAATACAATAATTGTTTTAAGAAAGCATGACATAAATTCTCAATATAAAATGCATTTTAAAACTCCTGTAAATCAGTCAAAACTTTATTCCTTTTATCATAATGGTCACTAACTGAGTCACTAACACTAGTAAACTATTTCTGAGCCATCTTTTCTACTCATATCTGCATTGTATGGTTAGGCAGCTGTTATGTGGCGTCACATGATAAAATAAAGGACTTCTTCCCATACCATTAAAAAAAAAAAAAGAATTCTTAGTTTCACAAGAGACTTCTGAGAGACTAATTAAGAAATTATCTCAAATGTATTATTGAACAAAATAATTATTTATCATAAGTGTTACCACAAAGACTCTAACCATTAGGTATAGATGCACTTTTCTGAATGTTGAAAGATTGATTGTATTAACAAATGAAAAAAATCATTTATTTCATTTTATTTCTGAAGAGGAAGTAGTCTCTCCTTTGGCATTTCTTTTTTGCTTCCTAGTCAGATTTAACTTGAAGTCAAATTAATTCAAATAAATGAAAATAGTTAATAGTTAAACGTCATACAATTAAAGCATAAGGGAAGATAGCATGAACAATGGATACATGAAGGATTTGTCAATGGAACTTTTGTTTTTTTTTTTTGGAGACAGAGTCTCACCCTGTCACCCAGGTTGGAGTGAAGTGGAAGCATTACAGATCACTGCAGCCTTGAACTCCTGGGCTAAAGCAATCCTCCTGCTTCAGCCTTCTGAGTAGCTGGGACCACAGGCATGCAGCACCATGCCGGCTGATTTTGTCTATTTTTTTGTAGAGACAGGGCTTCACTTTGCTGCCCAGGAGTTTGCCTGGTCTCAAACTCCTGGGCTCAAGTGATCCTTCCACGTTGGCCTCCCAAAATGCTAGTATTATAGGTATGAGCCACCGTGCATAGCCAGTGGAATTTTTTAAAAGGCTATTGGAAAATACAAATTTAAAAATTGGTACAAATGAAGAAAGACTTTCTTGGCTAAATTTACATGAATCTATATACTATGGAAGCACATGTGATTTAATGATTTCAAGGTAAAATGTACCATTTAATTACACACATTTGGAACTGGAACTTTCTAACACCCTACCACCTCTGTAGCTATGTAAACTTGCTATGATGACTAAAACAGTTTGAATCAATACAGGTGAATAGCATCTACGTTTTTATTTGCTTATCTATTTATATTCTGTCTCATCCATTTGACATAAACTTATTGAGCATGTGCCATATGTCATACTAATCCTTTTTGGTTTCAATTAACTTTGAGAGTGTATTGGTACTCACATAATTTACTCTGGAGATAATGATATAACAAGCAAACCATTTTATTTTCTCTTGCTTAGCTGAGTGAATATAGTCCTCCTGTATTAGGCGCTAGGGGAGAGACAAAGATCAATAAAACACAAACTTACCCTTCATTAGCTCACAGAGTCACTGGAGAAAGTAACATGTAAATAGTATCATAAGAGCAATAACAGAAGTATGTATAAAAATCAGTGTTCTTACAGAATAGGGGTTGATTTGCTCTAAACAAGACCAGGAAAGAATTAATCTGAGCTGGGCTTTTTCTTTTTTAGTTTTAGTTTATTGACAATAATTGCATATATTTATGGGGTACAATGTGATGCTTTAATAAATATATACATTTTGGAATGAGCAAATCAAGCTAATTAACATCTCTATCGCCTCCTATACCTATTGTTTCTTTGTGGTGAGAACACCTAAATCAATTTTTAGCAATTTTAAATATACAATATATTATTATTAACTATAGTCATCTTGCTGTACGATAGATTACCAGAACTCATTCTTGGTGTCTAACTAAAGCTTTGCACCTTTTGACCAACATTTCCCCTTTTCACACCCATTCCCTGTGCTCAGCCTCTGGTAATCACCATTCTACCCTCTATTTCTATGAGTTCAAATTTTTATATATTTTTACTTTTATTTTTTTCATTTTTAATTTTTGTGGGTACATGGTAGGTATATATATTTATGGGGTACATGAGATGTTTTGATACAGGCATGCAAGGCATAATAATCACATCATGGAGAACGGGGTATCTATCCCTTCAAGCATTTATCCTTGGAATTACAAACAACCCAATTACACTCTTTCAGTTCTTTTTAAATGTACAATTAAGTTATTATTGACTATAGTCACCCTGTTGTGCTATCAAATTCTAAGTCTAATCCATTCTTTCTATTATTTTTGTACCCATTAGCCATCCCCGCCTGCCCCCTACTTCTCCCATCCTTCCCAGCTTTTGGTAACCATCGAGTTCAATTTTTTAGATTCTACATATAAGTGAGATCATGCTTCAAAGCATCATTAACAGGAACTGACAGCCAACTGAATCTTGAAAGGCCTATGTGAGTGTGACAGACAAAACTTCAAGAAGGTGTAGGATGAAAAAATGCATAGAAACATGGAAATAAATTGGTTTATTCAGTGAGAGAGAAAACATAAGAAAAGAGTGTCAAGAATAGACCCCTGGGAATCACCAGTATCTCAGGGAACTAAGCAAATAGAGAAAGAGGCGTCAGAGAAACAGAAAACCAGGATAGAGCCATGTCTGAAGCCAAGGGAGGAGAAAATGGTCAGAACGAAGTAGGCAATATCTCAATGCTGGCGAAATGGCAAATAAGATAAGCTTAAAAATTATCTGTTATGCACAGCATTAGGAGACCAGCAGTGTTTTTCCAAGGGCAGTTTTAGGAGAGTGAAGAGGGCCAGGTCGCTAACTTCATTTCCTGTTTTTAAAGAAAACTGAAGATAAAGATAAGACATCCACCATTAGAAATTTACTCAACTTCTATTTAGGGACCTAAAATATAAGTACATTTATTATATGAGTTAGCCCTGTGCTACTACACAGTTAGCATTATGCAGTGGTAACTATAAATAGAAAGGATAAGTTTTGACGGAGGCTGGCAGAGGGGTAATGACAATATGGGGCTCTCTACAGATAAGAGGCCCCAAGACTGAGAAAGGGACACTGTGGAAACTGTATGAACGAGTATAATATGAACTTTACAATTTCACTAAGTGTAATCGAGCATAAGCACAATCTTTATAAATGAAAGCACTTGGGGATTACTCTATTTCGAGGGTGACATTCTATCACCTCTAAACAGGGAGAATGCTTTTCCATCAGGGCAGTTCCATGAAAGTTGAAACAACTGACATGACAGAAAAGAGAAAATTTGGAAAATCAAGGATGTTGAGAATATTTAGATGCATTTAAGTATTTAGCATTCTGTGATGTTGGTTTTTTTTTAACATTACTTTCTCCTTAGAAATCAAAAAATTATATACATTCAATGAGATGTCATTCTATAATACTATTTGCAAATATGTCATGCAGCCAATTTTATTTTCTGGATATCAGCAGAAATTACTGGTCCTGAGAGTGATTCTCTTTTGTTAAACTTGGTCTTAAGTATGTTTCTAATAAGATGGATGTTGTTATCAAGGAAACCATTGTATTCTTACTATTTTACTCACTGCATCCCTACTCAGGTCCCTGCATTCTTTGACTTCCACAACAGAAATAAGTGTGGGCTCACACATTATTTTCTATAATTTAAAAGACCCAATAAAAGTTATATATTTAGCTGTCATAGGACAACACAAACTACTGTCTAGCAAATGCAGTTTGTTGTGCCAAAAAAAACCCCTCTTAAAGCACAAGTTTATGAGAGAAACAAATAATGGTAAAAGGGTACTTTTTTGGAGGAAAAGCTTGGGAAAACAACATTTTATGCTATTTAAAATTCATGCTAACAAACAAAAATCAATAGCTTGACAGACTCAAAGTTCAAATCAACAGGAGAGGTGATTTAAGTTACATCTATCTACATTTAGGGCATTTGGCAATTTAGTATCTCTGTTTCCAATAAAGGTCAGTAAAATTCCTTTTCCAAATTAAAAAACAAGATTAGGAAAGAAAAGAGACTATTGACTGAACTATAAACTCTTGCACATGTTTCTAAGAAATGGGGAATTAATAAAACCTTCTTAAAATTTAATGAAATATTATATTTAATAGAGAAAAGGGCACTAACTCAAAATTCAACCAGTCTCTTTTCCTGAATTCAATTCACACATAGAAACTAAATAATATGAGACTGTGCATTAAGGAAAGATCATGTGAAATGCTTTGAAAAGGTACATTGCCCGATGTATACATTTTTTACACTATTTATCTATATTTCTTGTCTTCCATTAGCAAGCAGGACAGGATGTACAAACATAAAGATATATTAATATGTTCTGATCACCATCAGTGCAGGTAACTAATAACTATCTGTCCTTGGACAAAAAATGACTCTGATTATACATCAAAGATAACTGAATATCTGTTGATCTAACAGTAGATCTCTCAATTGTATTCCACTCCTGGTGAAAGGTGAGATTTACCTAAACAGAAATAACCATAAAAGCTGAATTTGGTCTATTCTTCCTAATGTTCTTTGCATCCTTTAACACTTTCTGCAGTCGCCACTGGAGCTGTATAGCAGCAAATCAAATTCAATGGACTGTATACGAAAAAAAATCAGCAGATCAGAAATTTATATAGAATTCTCCACTTCTACTTTGTAATATATTACTCATTGCTCTTTCAACTTGGTTTCACCTTGGTTTCCAGTCTTCATCCCATATCCATAGAAAGGTAACGTAATTTGAATGTTTACCCTGCCTCTTATGGTACATTCCTAAAAAAACACTGCATTGGCTCCTTGTGTGTGGACAATGTGTACCTCAATCCACAGGAACTCAGACATGAAATTTCCAGCACAAACAACATTATTTAGTAGGTTAATTCCAGTTCCAGATGAGTACCCAGCCCAGGAATGGAATGGTTTTAATTTGTAAGAGGAAAATACCAAACCGGCTATAACTCTTCTCCATTCAGTTTCAGGTACTCACTGCCACTAATCTGAGTCAACTTTGGTTATTTTGATAACTAGTCTTGCATGAGCTGTTCAATCTTAAAAGTTTTGGCATGGGCATATAGAAGTTTTCTTATTTTAATAGAGGAGTAGTTTGTATCAGCATAACCACCCCGCAGATACTAACTATAAACTCTGGACAAAACAGGAAAAAAAATCACTAATTTTGACTTTTCTTCACAGGTCAGGTCATTAAACCCTGTGGGAGTCAAACTATAGAGTTTGTGGCAGTCATTATAACTGGAAAGTAAGGGACAAACCCCCAGATGAGAAAGCCACAAGAGGAAAGCACAAAAACATAAAGTGGACACCTGAACCATGTGCATAGGAGAGATTGCAGGAAGCCCTCTGTAAATACCAGTTGAAAATCTGAAAGAAATAAGTGGATATTTTAACTCCTGCCCTCCACAGAGGAGACAAAAATGGAGACTGAGGCCAGCTAAGTTGTCTTTCTGTTAGAACAAAATCAATATTTTTTTTCAGAAATAAATAACCTAAGGTCTCTATAGCATATCATACATACTACTAACATTAAAAAGACGGACAATGCCAAGTCTTGGTGAGAATGTTGTGCAGCTAGAAGTCTCATACACTGATAAATGGATTATAAAGTGAAGCAACCACTTTGGAGAACAGTTTTGTAGTTTCCTAAAAAGTTGAACATACAACTACCATATGACTCAGCCACTCCCTTGCTATGTATTTACAGAAGAGAAAAATATATATGTGTACATACAAAATTTGTAAACAAATGTCCATAGAAGTTTTACCGTAATAACCCCCAAATCAGAAATGTTCCAAATGTCTATCAACAGGTGAATGGATAAATTGTGGCATATCCATACACACAAAAACATAGATGAACATCAAGATAAAAATGCTGAGTGAAAAAAGATAAAGAATAATATACTGTATGATTTTATATATACATGTGTACACACACATACACACTCACGCACACATTTCATATATTTCTAGATAATACAAAACAACCCATAGTGGGGGAAAAAAGCAGATTTGTAATTCCTTGGGGAAGCAGAGCAGTGGATGGATGGATAGACTGATAGATTACAAAGAATCATATAGAAAGAAAACAAAGGTAGTAGATATGATGAGTAGATATTATGTTGATTGTGGTGATAGTTTTATATGTGTTTATATGTATATATTAGAATACCATAAATATGTGCAGTTTATTGAATGTCAATTACACTTCAATAAAGTTATAAACGATTACTACAAACATCATAAAAAATATATAAGGACTGAAATTAATTAAGTATAAAACAGAGAAACAATGGATACAATTAAGAAAGCCAGAAATTTATTCCTTGAAAATATTTATAACATGTCTAAATATATAGGAAGTTTGATTTTAAAAGAAAGAGAGCAAATACAAATAACCATTATCAGGAATAACAAACAAGATTCTGCAGGCACTCTAAGGATGGTAAGAAAATATTATAAACAGTTTTATGCCAATAAATTCTACCATTTATATGAAATAGAACATGTTTTAAACACCATTTACCAAAACTCTTTCAAAAAGGAATAACCAAAAAAGGTCTCAACAAAACATAGGAGATGGTCTTTACCATCAAGGAGTATGAAAAGATTTTTTAGTCTGGAAACAGAAAATTAAAAAAAATAAAAGAAAAAATGATAAATTAGACTTAATTGACAATAAAACTTACACTTATCAAAAGACATTATTAAGAAAATGAGTAGTCAAGCCACAGACTGGGAGAAAATACTTGCATAACATATATCTGACAATGGATTTATATCCAGGATATATTTTAAAACTCCTGCAACTCAATAATAGAAAGACAAACAACTTAATTTAAAAGGGAAAAAGACTTGAACAAGCATTTCATATAAGAAGATATAAAAATGGCCCAAAAGCCCATGGAAAATTGCTCAATAACATTGATCATTAGGGAAATGCCAATTAAAAGCATAGTGAGATAGTGCTACTAGAATGACCAAAATTAAAAAGATTAACAACTTTAAGTGTTGGCAAAAATGTAAAGTAATCAAAATTTTTGTATGTTGCTGAGGGTATAAAAAAATAAAGCCATGCTGGAGTACTGTTTGGCAGTTTTTGAAATAATTTTGAACATTCACCAATAACCCAACAATTCTCTTCCTAAAGTTTTCCCAAAAGAAATAAAACTTACCCTTTAAATACTGGCACAGATTATTCACAGCAGATTTATTCAAAGTAGCCAAACACAGGAAATAATATAAATGTCCATCAACAAGGGAGCGGAAAAATAAATTGTAGAATATTCATATGATGGAATAGTACTCAACAATGAAAAATGACTCATATACACTATCTCACAGATACTATGTTAAGTAAAAGAAGCTGGACACAAAAGAGTGCATACTGTATGGCTCCATTTCATGAAGTTCTAGAAAAAGGAAACTAGAGGGGAAAATATCACATCACTGGTATACTAGGGAGGGTGTAATCATGTGGTAAGGTCTAGAAAAATAACATTTTTGGATGATAAAAATATTTTCATCTTCATAGAGGTATGAATTACATGATTCAACTGATTTATCAAAACTTATTACATTATACTCTATAGAGTTATGCATTTCATTTTATATGAACCTTACCTGAAAAAAACTGGAAACAAAAATAAATGAATAAATACAAGAGTAGGTCTTACATCGTGAAGACAATAAATATACATCTGTGAATGATTAAAACTGTCATGATGCTATGCAAATGGATACCTGTAGCTTAGGATAAGCTATTCAATGACCACACTACCCATGGATTAACTGTGCTACTTCTCAAACTGGACAGAAGTGGAAATGATGCAATATGACCAATGTAATTGATTCAAAACATGCTTCCTAGAAAGACACCAATTTTGTAGATGTGAAGAGTTTGAAGAATTGTTTCATGAGATATAAGTAGAAAAAAATATTTGCAAGCATCTATATAAACTTATTCACCCTGCATCTTCTTAAATAAGAAAATAATTCAAATGTTTCTAGAAAGGGTAAGGCTGTGTGCTGCAATTATCCAATTTTATGACAGGTCAACCTTGAGTATTCATTTTCCTAAGAATCTATCTTTAGAGACATTTCCCAGGAGAAAAATTTTAAAAGTGGGATTTTTTTTTCTCTGATCTTCAGTCTCTTTCTTCTCCAGTCATACTGGCATGAGAGATGGAGGCAGAGCTCATCCCTTCCCCACTTCTGATGTTTTCCCTTCCTGCTAGAGCAATGATGTTTCAGCATGTTTCACACCTGAGTCCCTGCGGACTGCGCATCACTCAGGGAAAGCTCTGGCCCAAGAGGTAAGCATCACCCCAGAAGTCTGTCTGAACTGAATAAAGCATATCCTGATGCTCTAGCTGGAGGTTTACAAGTGGTCCCTCCCAGTGGACATGCTTCTTACATTCACCACCACTCTCAGGGCAATTTTCTATTTGGCATTAGTCTGCTACATGACGAAAGGTACTAATCTGCATAATTACCTAAAATTCTTTGGCACCACTGGATAACTGCTGTTACCATCCTCCTGACACACTAATGCTGCATCCAAACATAAATGGGACCTGCGTCTGTCATATGCCTCTGGTAGAGGCAGGAGGAGGCCCTAGGTGAGATGCTTTTCAGACTCCCTTGCTTAGCAGGAATTTGGTGATACCTGTGCTGTCTATGATGGTCTCCTACCCAAGTAGTAGATGGAGCATTAAAGGCTTTCCCCCTTTCCTTATATGAGAATGCAAACTAATCCCTTCACCAAGAATTGGCTAATAAATATTAACTCATGTTCATTCATACCTACATGCCTTCAGTGTCTGACCTCCCTGAATCTATGCCAGCACCAGGTGCATTTGTTTCCAAAGTACCACCTTTATCAGGAAGACATATATCCATTCCTGTGAAATTGCACAAATATACCACCCTAAAACACTGGAGAATCTTGTCCCAGGGCTTCATAAAATCTTGTCCCAGAACTTCTCACTCCACCTGAAAGTGCCCCTCATCATGCCTTCTCATTGCCCTTCTCTCTGGGAGGGTGGATGCATCAGCCACTCCCCTTCAGTCCAACCCATTTCAGGCTTGTTTTACAACTAAGAAAAGCTGACTGCTCCGTAACATCTGAACCCATGGCCTTGCAAGCTGAACAAACTGATCTAAGATGATTATGCTACCACACCATTAAATAATGCAAAACTCACTGATCTACAAAACATGATTTATGCATTGGGAAGTAGGAGCCTCAGCATGAGCAATCTAAATCTCTCTTTAATTATACTTGATATTACAAAGAAAGAAAAGATATTTTTCCCTTTTTAACATAAGAAAAAATGTTATTCTAAAAGAACAAAGTTGATTTTTTCTCCTAACAAATGTAGTTTTGCAATTTCTATAGAAAATCAAAGTAACTATTTGTAATCATCCACTATTCATAGTCTAGGAAAAGCTTTAATAAGAAAAGGCAAAAAGCAATCATTATTACATGCTAACTTGTACTTCCTAACTCCCTTTCCCTTTGAACCTTCATTATAAACCTAACAAATCTGAAACTCTATAGAATTTATACTGATCTCTCTCCTTCTGTGTGATTGATGGTCATGAACTTGACATTTCCTGTTCTGATTTCTCTCAGGAAGAAAGAATGTTTGTAGCATTTGATTCATAAGTTTCATAGAGAACAAGCACTATCTGTGCAAGCTTCTGTGGTTCAGGTAGTGATGATTAATCTCTAGATAAGAATGAAAACATGGCACATAGAGGAAGCCAAACTAGTTATTTCTTGCTCAAAATAAGTAACTATAATGAATAAGCAAGAAGCAACACACTTTGACATAAATAAGCTTCTGCTTTTTATTCCCCCAAAAGGAATATTTGGCCATTTACATGACGAGGTAATTGTCCCTTAAATATATGATTTTCAATTCTTATTTACAAACCAATGAATTCGACCTGAAATAAAACAGACTATAATATAACCAGATGATGAAGATTTGAAATGTGACTGCTTCATAGAAATTCATTTATTTATTCATTCAAAGAATAGGTATTGATTGCTAATAATTTATATGGCACTATTCTAAGCACTTAAATTTACAGGGAAAAACAGAAACAATAAGAAAGCTTTCAGTGCATATGATGGAAATTTCTAAAACCCTCAGAAAAGACGGCTAGGTTATGAAGAATAAAGTCTAGGCCCTACTGGCCAAACTTTAATAGATTATGTAATCTATACTTTAATTCCTTCATCACAAAATGGTTTAATAATTTATTTGATATACACCTCTGAGGAATTTACATATTTCAAAAAGAAATACAAATCTGTATAATTATACAATGAAGTGACTTACAAGATATCATAATAAATGAGATACAGAGCAACTAGAATTCTTACACTGCTAATGGTGGTGCAAATTGTTACCACCTCTTAGAAAACAAATGGTAATTATCTTGCAAAATTGAACATAAGCAGTCTGTACAACCTAGCTGCAGCAGAACTCACTAACAGAACCAATAAATATTTATGCTCCATTTCTATAGTGTACATGTGTGGTTGGGAAACTGCTGTCCAGCCAGAAACTAGGTTTCCCAGCTTTCTCACATCTAGTCAGGATCATGAGATTACTTCCAGCCAATTGAGTGTGAACAGAATCTGTAAGTGTCATTTCTGAGCCAAAGTGGTGATCTTCTGTGTCTTCTTCAGGATGTCTTCCAAGGTTACTATAACACCAAGTGCTGAGGATTTTAGCAGCACAATTTGTGGCAATCTGTCCAAGAGAATCAATTAACCAGGAATATTCACATGGGGTTTGCAGTGAGTTAGAAGCAATGTTTGTAGCGTTAAGTTAGTGAGATTTTGCAATAGTTTCTATCAGCAGCTGATCTACCCTAAGATACACTGAGCAATTCCATTCTTAGCTTTGCCTCTGAGAAGCTCTTGTGTATGTGAAGGAGAAGACATGTTGAAGAATATTTATAGTAATATTGTTTGTAATAGCCAAAATATGAAAAAAATTTAAATGCTCTTTATAAGAAAATAGATAAATAATTGTCATGTATTTATATAAAATTCTATACGGTAGTGGAAATACATGAATTCATTCAAATGCATCACCTTGGATGAAAAAAGAAGATAAATGTTGAGCGAAAAACTTTGTTGAAGAATAGATACAGTATAATTCCATTTAAAAAACATTCAAAAACATGCAAAACTAAACAAAATTTAGAGGTACATCCAAATGTAGTGAATTATAAAGAAAAAAGGTAGAATAATGAACACAACATTATGAAAGTAGTTATAACTGAGAGGAGAGAAAATGAACAGAATTGGGAAGAGGCACACAAAGGACTTGGGAGTCAATGGTAACATTCTTTCTGAATTCCCTCTGTAATCAGGTCATAGAACTTAATCTTAGCATCTTGGAGTTCACCTAACTTTTTCTCAGGTTGTATCCAAGCTGCTGGAGGCTCATATCATCCCAGAGTCTTAGAAGGGGCACCTCTGATCTCCATGGTTATGAACAGCTATGCATTGCCCTGCTGAGATTTCCTTATTCTTCGGTGGTTCCCAACTGCCAGCCACATGGATCCCTTTGAATCATTCCTCATTGCTACTGCAAGGTGTCAGATTGGGCTCTGTTCCTCACATTTTAGTCCCATTCCTCGGTGCAGTGAAATCATTAGCTGTTCCCGTAAGATATGAGGCTATCTAAAGTTTTGTGTTTCTTTTAGGAGTTGGAAGTCTAACTCTGCCTCACTGCATTCTTTTTCTATAGTTATGAGTTATCTCAGGGCCCAGACTTTTGAAACAATAAAACTCTTTTTCTCATTTTTTGTTGTAACACCTATTCCTGAAAATGTCACACAATCTAGCTCCTGTGAATGGGGAGAAAGATCAAGGTAAAAGAATGTGTGAATATTTCCAAATAGTATCCCATCAGAGTTGTTTCGATGGTGTGATTGTATTAATGAGACAATACTCCTTGTGAGGAACAAACATTTCCCCAAGCCACATTCTGGAGATGAACGGTGAAGGGCCATGTGAAGACACATTGACAGTAACTGAAAAGGAAAAGATGTTTAAGTTTCTAAGCAGCTCTGCAGATGGGATTTTTATCAATCTCTCTATCTTGCCTCTCATAAACTCCTTTATTATTTCTACTCTCTTCTTCATGTTTGTACCAACTTTTATAACTGCTGATTATACAGTTTTATACAAATTCTCTGCTCAAAATTTTTAGACGGAACCAATCTGATTGATTTAAGAAATTTCTCCATTGAGTAATGCTCTTCCATATTTGACCAATACAGTCAATTATCTACATTTAGACTCCTCTTTGTCTGGATATGCCTTTGTTAAACCAGTGGGCACCCTGCCACAAAGAGCAGCCCAACACTGCACATTTTCTGAATAAATAGGAAGTATAGTTTCAGGTAGACCGAGAGAAAATTATTTTAGGTACCATGTCAAGGGCCGCAGACAGATCATGAAATCAAGAGTAGATGAATGAGACTAAGTTTAGACAAGGTGACATGGATCCATTTCTCCCTGCTCCTTTCTGCTAAGCACAAGTATAATCCCTTTGATAATATGAGGAGCAACTAAAGGAAGCCCTGAAAGGTGGTATGAAGAAAGCAAGATGGTTTAGGGACCTGGGATTAGAGGAATTACACAGCAACAGGTACATAAATCCATTCCAAGCAACAAACGAGGATAAATCAGACCCATTATTTCCTGAATTCCAACTTTCCAACGGAAGGCAGCTCATGAAGTTTCATTCTTTTGTGAAATTTAATAGAAATCCCTTTAACATCAGGTTAGCCTGACAATACTTACAAATAGAATTGACCAGGCAACCATAAGTGGCTTCCAGGGTAATTATAGAACTAACAGTACAATAACAAAAAGAAATAATTCTGAACTGGGAGGCAGAGCTTGCGGTGAGCCGAGATTGTGCCATTGCACTCCAGCCTGGGCCAAAGGGCAAGACTCCATCTCAACAACAACAAAAAAATACAAAAAAAACCCCCACAAATAATTCACTGGATGGACTCAGTAGTACAGTGGATATGAAAGAGCATAGAATCAATAAACGTGAAAACAGATTAATAGAATTCACCCCATCTGAAAAATACAGAGAAAACAGACTAAAAAGATAAACAGAGCCTCAGAGACCTGTGGGTCCATAATGAAAGATACAAATTTCATATCATTGGAATCTAGGAAGGAAGGAGAGCAAGACTGAAAGAATATTTGAAGAAACAATGGCTCAAAACTTCTCACATTTGGTAAAAGCATGAACAGATGCTTCATGCTTGAACAGATGCTTCATGCTTGAACAGATGAACAGATTCAAGAAGCTAAGGAATTCCAAACAAGATAAATGCAAAGAAATCCATACTACCACAATAAGCTTCTGAAAACTAAAGACAAAACATCTCAAAAGGAAATATTGTCCACATGGAACATCAGTTTGTGTGACAAAGGATTACTTATCTAAAACCATGGAGGCCAGAAGAAAGTAGGACTGCTCCTGACTTCTCTTAGGAAGAAAAATTGTTTGTAGTATTTGACTCATAAGTTTCACAAGGCAACAAGCACTATCTGTACAAGCCTCTGTGGTTCAGGTAGTGATAACTAATCCCTAGGTAAGAATGAAAACATGGCACATAGAGGAAGC
This sequence comes from Homo sapiens, assembly GCF_000001405.40. NCBI lineage: Eukaryota > Metazoa > Chordata > Mammalia > Primates > Hominidae > Homo > Homo sapiens. The sequence continues at coordinate 93,860,532 of NC_000007.14, forward strand.
CAAACAAGTTATTTCTTGCACAAAATAAATAACTATACTGAATAAGCGAGAAGAAACACACCTCTTAGCAATGTGTTTTAGGTGCTGAAAGAAAATAACTTTCAAATGCAACTTCTATATCCAGAAAATTATCCTTTATAAATTAAAGAAAAATAAAGTCATCTCAGATGAAGAAAAACTAGAATTTTTTTCCTAGCAGACCTACCCTTAAAGACTGGCTAATGCATATACTTCAGATATAAAGGAAATCATCTAAAAAAAGAATCCTAGAGTATCAGGAAGGAAGAAGTAACAACAGAAAGAGAAGAAATAGTATATATAAAAAACTATCATTCCCCCTCATCAATTTTATAAATCACATTTGATAATTGAAACAAAAATTATAATACCATCTGATGCTCAAGACAGTTACAGTCAGTCTTCTGTATTTGTGGGTTCCTTATCCATGAATTCAACCAAACAAGAATCAAAAATATTTGCGGGAAAAAAAAGGATGGTTGTGTCTATACTGAACATATAAAGACTTTTTTCTTGTCATTATTCACTAAATAATATAGTATAACAAGTATTTATATAGTATTTACATTGTATTTTGCATTAAGTTATCTGGAGATGATTTAAAGTCGACAGGAGAATGTGCAAAGGTTATATGCAAATACTAAACCACTTTACATAAGGGATTTGAGTGTCCATGGATTTTTATATCTGCAGGGGCAGTCCTGGAACAAATCCCCTACAGACACCAAGGAACAACTCTATATTTAGAAGTGAGGAAACTAAAGGGACTTAATTAGAAATAAATTTCTCACATTTCATTTGAAGTGATAAAATGTTGCTACTAGTAGACCATGGTAAGTCACATATGTATATTGCAATACCCAAAGCAACCACTAAGGAAACTATACAAAGAGTTATACTCAAAAGTACCTTTAATAACAATAATTACCTTGAATGTAAATAATCTAAATATACTGAGCAAAGATCAGATATTGGAAAAGTGAAAAAATTAAACAAACCATGACCCAACTATATACTATTGATAGAAAACTCACTTCAAATTAAATGACACAGGTAGGTTGAAAGTAAGGGGATGGAAAAGACCTAGCATTCGAACATGAAATTTTTTGAAAAGAAAGAAAGCACGGTTATATTAATGTCTGATAAAATAGAATTCGAAGCAAAGAAAATTGCTAGAGAGAAAAAAGGGCATTATATGATGGTGAAAAGATCAATGTACTGGAAACATGCAGTGAAGCTAAATGTGTGCACACCAAACAAAAGACTTTCAAAATACATGAAGCAAAAACGGGTGAAACTGAAAAAAGAAACAGACAATTTTATAATCATAGTTGGTGAATGTGCACCAAGATACCATATCCTGACCCATAAAACAAATATCAATAAAGTTAAAATAATTTAAATCATATGCAATCTATTTTATTATAGGAATTCTTCATCAAAATTGAGTTGCACTAACAAATCTTGCTATAGATTTTCCCAAATGGTCACAAAAATATCTAGGAATAAAGAAAGATAATGACACTGAAATAATGACACTGAAAACCGAAATTGTTAGAAAATCTGTTTTCAGGTTCTGAGAGAAATTTGGACTAATTGCAAAACTAAAGGAGCTAGATTGGAAAACAAACCCCTCCCCACTTGTGCAGCCATGCTGGAAGAGAGAAAACTCTCTCTTTTTTATTTTTTATTTTTTCAGAAGGAGACTTTATTTCTCTGTCAATCTCTGTTTCCTGGTTTAGAAAAACTGGGGGGATTTCTTGGCTCAGTCACCGCAAAACTTGTCAAATATCTGTATACTTGGTGTGTTCTCATTTTTGAGACAAGCAAAAATATTTTTCTTCATTCCTATATGAGTTACATTTTGCCCCCATAACAAATTATCTCAGAATTTAGCATCTTAAAATAACAATCATTTCTCATCTCACACAGTTTTTGAGTGTCAGGAATCTAGGAGTGGCTCACCTGGATGGTTTTGGTTCAGCATCTCTCATCAGATTACAGTCAACGGGTCAGCCAGGGCATCAGTTATCTCAAAGCTTCACTGGTGCTGGTGAACCCACTCCTAAGCTCACTCGAGTGGCTGCTGGCAAGCTTCTATTCCTTATCAAAGGCGTTTCTCCATAGGCTGCCTGAGTGTCTTCAAGATGCCACAATTGGCCTCAACCCTAATGAGAATCCAGGAAAGAGAGAGAAGAGAGGGAAAAAATATTCAAGATGGAAACTTTAGTAATCTCAGAAATTACATCCCATTTTTTCTGCTATATGTTATCTACTATATGAATCAATCCTTGTACAGTGTAGGAAGGGATTGCACAATGGGGTAAATACTAAGGAACAGGGAGTATTGGGGCTGCCCTGGAGGCAGAATACTACAATCCCTTATTAGTAACACTCTTTCTACAGCCAGTTAGAGCCTGTGATTCCCAATAAACAATGCGGAAGGAAGTGGAGAAGGGAGAAGAGGGATGATCATAGAACATTGCATCTTGAAAGCTATGGTTCTTCAAGTAAATGCTATCAGCAAACCCGAGAGAAGAGCCACAGCATTAGGTTTTTTGGTTTTGTTTTGTCTTTGTTTGTTTTTAATTCCAAGTCAGAATGTTAGGAAGCATCTTAAAGTTGGAAAATAAGAATACCTGTATCAGTGCAGCAAATCTGTGCCAGTTTATTTTCTGACAAACTTTAATAATTGCTTTAGGTACATAAATCCATCTCTAGCTGCAGTTCTGAGGTGGGAATTTGAGCACTAAAAAGAGTAATAGTGAATAGCGCTAAGGGTAGTCTACACACACTATCTTAATGGATTGACTTGATTTCTTTTCATGTCAAAAGGCATAAAATGTAAAATCAGCATGCACACTATGAAACTAGGCAGAAAATTCATGTTACAGAAATGTATTTTTAAATACTCAAAGTAAAAGCAAACATTTGAAAACGATTTAGTGCAGAAAAAATGTTTAGCAAATAGAATGCTATATAGCAATATACAGACTTTCTGAAAAACAACAAAAAAATCAAAATATATACAACAGACTATAATGAGAAGAACAAAGAATCTAATTAGCAGAGAGGTAAGATGGAAGGTAAGTTAAGAGTATAAGAAAACTAACAATAAAATATTAGAATTTCAGTGAAAATTGGAAGAAGAAAATAAAAGGATAGAAAGTGACAAAATAAAATGAATAAAAAGGAGGATAAGCTATGTAAGCTTTTTAGAATGTGAAAAAAGGAGAGAGTGGTGAATAGACAAGCAAGAAGAGAAATGTTATGCATATACAGATTTCTTCTTAGAATTATAGGTACACATTTGGCAAAAAGCCTTCTGAAGTATGTGGATGGGAAAGCTCCTAAATTGCTGCAATATTAACCAACAGAGATCCACATATGCAGATTTCTTCTCTGAGATGCTAAATGACAAAAGCAATCAAATAACGTCTACATGATTAGGAAGGGAATTATATCACAGCCATGTTCTTCCTCATATATGAAGACAAAGACATTCAGAGTTTTTCAGAAAACATACCACTGAAATAACCTTCCTGGAAAAAAAATGTTATCAAGATATAATCTATCTCCTGAACATATGTGATGAATAAACATGTGAAAATAAATGAATAAATAAAGAATAGTGTCAGAATTGGTTATTTTCCATCTTCCTGGAATCTATCATATAATAAAGTGAGGGTAAGGTAAAGTTTTGTTTTTGTTTTCTTACAACTCCAAAGAGACAGAAAGAGAAGTTAAATACACTCCTATTCAGGAGGTATGTTAAAGGAAGGTCAAACTTGATAGATAGAAAAGCCTGAGACCAATATCTTGAAGTTACTTCACTCAGAGGACCCATTCTTACCCCAGCCCTCCTTAGGCTCACAGAACCCAAAGACTACCTTCCACCTCCACCTTGGGATCCCTTCAGGAACACAGCCATATGCAACTCAATGATTATGAACTAGAACTGAAGGCCACAGCTAGAAGGCAAGACACTGAGGTGGGGAAAGGTTTTATTGCAACTGGGACCATGAGAAAAGGAGTTTCCAAGAAGAAAACGTTTCATAGTGACCCCAGTGAGGAGGCTACAACTCATGTCCCAACAGTCAAGAACACTGGGAGAGATTCTCCTGAAACACCGTGTCCTGTGGAGTTGCAGGTATTGGAAATAATTGTCATGGTACAGCGGCAGCTTTATTGTGATCCTGATGAAGACTAAGATTCAGGGCTTTTCATTTGCTTTGGGCCTGTGAATAGTGGGTACTGTTGGGAGTTATAGAAAGTTCTTGGAGGGAAGGGGCTGGGTGCGGTGGCTCACGCCTGTAATCCCGGAACTTTGGGAGGCTGAGGCAGGCGGATCACGAGGTTAGGAGATCGAGACCATCCTGGCTAACACGGTGAAACCCGATCTCTACTAAAAATACAAAAAATAAGCCGAGTGTGGTGGCAGGCGCCTGTAGTTCCAGCTACTCGGGAGGCTGAGGCAGGAGAATGGCATGAACCCGGGAGGCGGAGCTTGCAGTGAGCCAAGATGGCACCACTGCACTCCAGCCCGGGCAACAGAGTGAGACTCCGTCTCAAAAAAAAAAAGAAAAAAAAAAAAATTATTGGGGGGAAGGGAAGCCAGGATGGAGTCGGGAATATCTGTATAGGTATTTCTCATGAGTTTCCTAGAGACCTCAGAAAAAGGAATTTGAATCTCCAAGGCTCTAATATTTTACTGGGATTTCTTTTCTCATTCTAAACATATACTTTCATATCGAATTTTTCATTTTTAGGTTGTCTTCTTTATCTAAAGATGTTCTCAAAAACTCTGTAAGTTTCAGATATGTCATATGAAAAACATAATTTAGGAAACCCTGGAGAAAACTGGAACCAAAGTAAAAAGCTGTTCTGTACATTCTGCTGGCTTCACATGTGTGATTGACTGGTTACTTACTACCCACTCCACCATCTCTTATAATTTCAGCTGTTTTGAAAGTTGATGCTGTTATAGGTGCATTGGTATTCATAACTGCTACATCTTCATTGTGAATCATATCGCTTAACGTTATGTTATATTCTTCGTCTCATTTAAACCTATTTTGACCTTTAATTGTACCATGTCTCACACTAAGAACACAATCTATTTTCCTTTTATCTGCCTTTACTTCTCTTTTTATTTTTAACATTAAATCAGATTACTTTTGCTTTGTCTCCTGTGTATAGTACAGAGGTAGGTTTTTCTTTGTGATCTGATCTTTTCTTTTCCATGTGATTTAAATCAAGTTACCTTCATTGCTATGACAGATATGTTTGAATTCTTTCATAGTTTATTATATTATTTATTTTGTTTTTTAATTAATCAAATTTATGTTTTAGAGAAGTTCTAGAGTTGCAGAACAATTGAGCAGATAGTATAGTACAGAGGGTGCCCTTTTGTTTCTTCTTTCCCTGCACGCAGATTCCCCCATTATTAACATCTTGCATTGGTGTGGTATATTTGTTACAATTGATTAACCAGTATTGATACATTATTATTAACTGAAGTCCATAGTTTATATTTGGGTTCACTATTTGTGTTTTACAGTTAAATTGGTTTTTACAAATATGTAATTTCATGTATCCACCATTACAATATCATACAGAATAGTTTCACCAATCTAAAGTTTCATTATGCCTTATCTATTTATCCCTCCCTCTCTCCTCTCAAACCCCTGGTAACCACTGATATTTTTTACTGTCTCTTTAGTTTTATCTTTTCCAGAGTTCCATATAGTTAGAATCATAAAGTATATAGTCTTTTCAGATTGGCTTTTTCATTTAGTATTATGCATTTAAGTTTCCTCCATGTCTGTTCATGGCATGATAGTTCCTTTCTTTTTATTGTTGAGTTACCTGCTATACTCCAATCTCTGGATGTACCACGGTTTGTTTATGCATTCAGTTATTTTTTGCTGTTCTTTATTTTTGTTACGAGACAGGGTCTCACTCTGCCATCCAGGCTAGTGTACAGTGGCATGATCACAGCTCACTGCAGCCTTGACCTCCCTGGCCTCAAAGGATCCTCCCACCTCAGGCTCCCGAATTGCTTGGATTACAAGCATGAGCCACCATACCTAGCTAATTTTTTTTTAATTTTTTGTAGAGATGGGGTCTGGCTATGTTGCCTATGACTAGGTTGGTCTCGAACTCCTGGGCTCAGGCAATCTACCCACCTCGGCCTCCCAAAGTAATAGGATTACAGGCATGAGCCACCATGCCCAGCCCCATTCATTTATTAAAGGCCGTCTTGATTGCTTCCAATGTTTGGCAAATATAAGGAAATCGATTATAAAGATTTGTGTGGTGTTTATTCCATGACATAGTTTTCGACTCATTGGGTAAATATCTAGGAGCATAAATGCTAGATTATACAGTTAAATTATATTTCAGTTTGTATGGCTGGACATCTAGGATTTTTTAATCTCTCAAACTAGTCCATGCTCAGTCTCCAGCAATTAATCAATTACCATTTAAGTGCTGGCTTCAGATGTGGACTTCTGCTCCTTGGCCTTTGCTCCTGGGAAGCTGTGATTCTGAGTATCCGCCTTTCTTTTCAGTCGTCAAGGTGGCAATTTCCCCTATAAACTCAATTCTCTGCTCTAAGAAGAGTTGTTGATTTTCAGTTGTTCTTTTGTATTTTTATTTTTTCATCCTATTGTGAAGACAGATGAAATAACTTTCATGTTCTTTGTCAGACTGGAAGCTAGAAGTATCTTCTTTTTTATAAATATATGTATTTCACTGTGTTCTATAATCTTTGCTTTTTATTTCAGCTCTCTGGTATTTCAGAGATTTTGTATTTTTTTCTACTGGGTATTTTGTAATTTCACTTTTATAAAGTGCTCTTGGTGCTCTCTTTCCTTAGGTTCTATGTAGCTGTTCCCTACTATGGGCTACAATAAAATTAACTCCTATCTTCTACCCTCTGCTAGTAGCTTACTGCATACTTTTATGTACTTGTATTTGTGAATGTGTTGAAATTCCAAGGACTTCATTTGTCAGCCTTAGGTGATATTCTTTGACTCCAGCTATCACAGAAGATTCTGCCCTTTGTCTTCTCTTTCCTTTGCCTCCTGATTTTTGTTAGTCGTTTCATTTCTACATGAACTGAACATGTAATAAATCATTCCATTCTCTTATTCTTACCTTTTCTTTGAGTCTTACTTTTACATTTTAGTTTCATTTTTTTTTAGTCTTACTTTTCCATTTTACGGCTAATAACATGCATAGCTTCAACAATCCTTATTCTCAAGTCTCTCAGTCAGGACTTCATTGGCTGCAGATTCTCCTCTAGCACTGCATCCATTCAACTGAAGATTTCTGATTTAATGGCATAACAATTGTGGCAAATATACTTTTATTATCCTTGGAATATCTTCACATCTGTACATTTGTCGTTTTACATTGACTGTATTTGTCTTCATTCTGATGTTGTTAATCTTGCCAGAAGTTTATCAGTTTTACTAATATTTTCAATTAACCAGGGTTGGTTGGTTGGTTGATTGGTTGGTTGGTTGGTTGGTTTGGCATTGTTTTTCTCTTCATTTTATCTTTGTTTCTACTTCATTAATTCTTGTATTGTTTTTTCAGCTTTATTCCGTTGTTCTGACTCTAGTTTCTTCATATAAAAATTGATTAAAATATCAGGTCTGCAATGCATTTAGTCCTCCTGGCTGGAGGGGGAGACCCCACCATAAAAAAAAGAAGGTAGTCTTATCTCTCCTTGTAAATATACAAGTGACAGACTTGTATATTGTATACAGACTTGTCACTTGTATACAACTGACAGACTTCATACCAAATTAAATGGTTTTGTAGAAAGAAAGGCCTTATCTACAAAAGGCTCAGCAAGGTGTCCTTGGTTGTTTAGAATTGCTTAAAGAAACTTGAAATCTATAGATTTATAGGATGTGAAAGCTTGGGGAATATCATGTAAGCTACAACCATATGAGTATAAAGCAGAGATGGTTTATGACTTAAATAATTCCTTCAGTGTAGGTATTCTGGGCCAGAGAACTTTGGATGCAGAAAAAAAAAAAAAAAAAAAAAAGCCGGTAGCGGTGGCTCACACCTGTAATCCCAGCACTTTGGGAGGCCAAGGTGCGCAGATCACTTGAAGCCAGGATTTGAGATCAGCCTGGCCAACCTGGCAAAACCCCTTCTCTACTAAAAATACAAAAATTAGCTGTGCATGGTGGTGCACACCTGCAATCCCAGCTGCTAGAGAGGCTGAGGAGGAACATCACTTGAACCTGGGAGACAGATGTTGCAGTGAGCCGAGATCACTCCACTGCACTCCAGCCTGGGCAACAGAGGGAGACTCTGTCTCAAAATAAATAAATAAATAAATATTAATAAGTAAAGAAATAATAAAAGACTCAGAATGCCCAGCTAAGTGTTCTCGACCTCTCCATGATTTGACTGTATTCTTTATTTGTATTCTTGATATGATTAATAAAGCTTTATCTCTTATTCGTGGGAATCTTATTTGACAATCTAATTCTTTTTTAAAATAATCTCAATTCTTAGATACTTAACTTATTAAAGTTAAGCCTTTCATATTTTCTAATATACGCATTAAATGCTAACAGTTTTTCTCTACGTACCTTCTTAGCTGCCTTCTACAAGTTTTGATAAGTAATATTTTCATTGTTATTCAGTTCAAAATATTTTCTAATTTCCAACAATTTCTTTCTGACCCATGAGTGTTTTTCTAAATTCCCAAACAAAAATGATTTTCTAGTTACCTTCTTATTGCTGATAATAAACCTAATTGCATTGCTGTCAAAGAATGTAACTTTTGTGATACCAATATTTTCAAATTGGTCCAGTCTTGCTTTATGGTTAGCTGATAATTTTTTTTTTTTCTTTTTGAGATGGAGTCTTACTCTGTCGCCCAGGCTGAAGTGCAGTGGCATGATCTTGGCTCACTGCAACCTTTGCCTCCAGGGTTCAAGCGATTCTCCTGCCTCAGCCTCCTGAGTAGCTGGGATTACAGGCACATGCCACCACGCCCAGCTAATTTTTTGTATTTTTATTAGAGATGGGGTTTCACCATGATGGTTAGGCTGGTCTGGAACTCCTGACCTCGTGATCTGCCTGCCTTGGCCTCCCAAAGTGCTGGAATTACAGGCTTGAGCCAGCGCCTGGCCTAGGTGATAATTTTATTAATATTCAATGTATATTTTAGAGCAGAGATCAGCCAACTATGGCCCACAGTCTAAATCTAGCCAGACACCTGCTTCTGTAAATAAAGTTTTATTGAAACATAGCCACATATATTTATTTATGTATGGTTTTATTGTGGGATCTGGCCAGCAGCCCACAATGCAACGGGGCTCTCTCTTTGCTCCTAGGCGGATCGGCAGGTTGAGAAATAATAGACACACACAAGATAGTGAAAGCTGGGTACAGGGGGGTCACCGCCTTCTGGTCCCACGGTGCCAACAATGCACTGGATATACCAGCATTTATTATTAAGTTTAGTGAGGGCGGGGGTAGGTTAGTGAGGGATTTAGGGTCATTTGATTATGAGGTGAGATGGTCACATGGGGATGAAGTAATTCTTTAACATAACATTTGTATGTAGAAGTACAGTACATTTGTATGTAGTACAGTATACAGAGATAAGAATTTACAATATAGTGTGTGCGTCAGTAATTTCTAACAGAGCCTTAGAACAGAAACACAGTCTATCCATAACCTATGATTAGCAAGATATTAATCAGCAGTAACAATTGCAACAAAAGCTGGTTACAAACAATCCACGGAAACAGGACGTTAAGCTAGACAACTGGTTAGACCAGAAATTCTCAGAAGGGAGTATGCTTTAACCCTAAAGAGGCCTAGAAGAGCCGTGGCAAGATGAGGCCGTTTATAGCCCTATCTTATCCATATGGACAGGCGCCCCCCATGCATCCGTTTATAGGCTTTCCACAAGGGTCGCATTCCATTCCCAGAGCTATGAACGTCTGCTTTTCTGGGATAGGAATCTTGGTGATGTGAAACCTCCCTGACTGCACGTCCATTCATAGGCTCTCTGCAGGTGGAAGCACATCACGCACTGTTGGCTTGTTCTGGCAGTCCAACTTGGCATTGTCTTTACACAATCCTGCATGCAATTTTGTATTTACAATAATCAGGAGCATTTCATCTTTTATTCCATAGCAATAGTTTCAGGGGGTCTCCCTACATGGTCTGTGGCTGCTTTTACACTACAATGGTAGGATTGAGCAACCTATCAGAGACTGCATGTCCTGGAAAGCCTTTATCATCTGGTTTTTGCAGAGAAAGTGAGCTGAGTAATCCCAGCACTTTGGGAGGCCGAGGCGGGCCGATCACGAGGTCAGGAGATCGAGACCATCCTAGCTAACACGGTGAAACCCCGCCTGTACTAAAAATACAAAAAATTAGCTGGGCGTGGTGGTGGGCACCAGTAGTCCCAGCTACTCAGGAGGCTGAGGCAGGAGAGTGGCCAGAACTCGGGAGGCGGAGCTCGCAGTGAGCAGAGATCGCACCCCTGCACTCCAGCCTGGGCAACAGAGCGAGACTCTGTCTCAAAAAAACAAAAAAGAAAGTCTGCTGAGTCTTACTTTAGAAGAACATGTATTCTACTGTTTGGGGACAATGTTCTATGTATCCATTGGATAAAACTTCTATTAACTTTGAGTTATTTAAATAGTCAACATGCTCTTAGGGATTTTTTTTTCTGTCTTGATTTATCAATTACTGAGAGAAGTGTATCAAGATTTATTGCTATGGTGGTATATTTGTTAACTTAGCCTTACAATTCTATTAGTTTTGCTAGAGATAGATCCATAGATAGATTAAAAATCTGTTCTTAGGTAGACAGAAATTCAGAATAGTTACATTTTCCTGGTGACTTTATTTTGCAAATTTGAATATTAAATGGAATTCTATCTATATTAGTGGCCTTTTAATGGTTGGCATTTGCCAACTTGTTGGTTTAGTATTTGCCTGGTATGTATTTAATTACTTTTATTGTCAATTTTTTTTTTGTTTTTTGTTTTACATATATCTCTGTTGAACAGCAAAGAGCTAGGGTTTATTATTTATTCCAGAAAAATAATATGTGTATTTAGAATTTCTTCCATGGGCATTTAATATAGTTGCTATTATATTTAAATTTATTTCTATAAGCTTATATTGTGCTTTCTATTTGTCCCGGCTTTTGTATCTATTGACTCTTTTATTTCTCCTTTCTTGCCCTCTTTTGAATTGATTATATTCTAATTTTATTTTTCATCTTTAATAATTTAGAAATGACATGATATATACTTACTTTTAGTAATTATATTTAACCTAACAAAATCAAGTATCAATAAATATAATTGCTCTCCTAGAATCTCTCATTACAATCAGTTTCTTTTCCACTTAAACATTATTTTTCAATTTTAGTTCTATCATAATTTAACCTTCCTCCATAAAATTGGTATTATTGCTTATTACATGAGTTTATTTGATTTTAACCACATATTTCCACTTTTTTAGCTCGTTTATTATTACATTTCAAACTTTCAGTTGAGGCCACTTCAACTAAGAGAAAAACCAAGAGAACTTAAATAAACAAGATGGTGAATTTAAAAAGGATAAAATTTTAAAATCTGCTTATAACAAAACTTAAAAACAGTAGAATTATGTTTAAGCATTTGTTTAAAAGTCTAATAAAATAGACAAAGCTATTATCCAGAATAAAATTATGAAAAATTCCATTTACAAGGTATGACATAATTTGAAACACTACTGATCTACTTTACAGAAAAAAAAAAATTGATCACCAAAATCTACTGTAGAAGACATAGCAAAACCAAGTATATAAAGACCCATAAATAAAATGGAAGAAGTTAGCACAAAACTTTCTCTAAAATAGTACTATACTGAGCAAATCTAATATGTGAGTTATTAAAATACACCAAAAATCAAATAAATAATTCTTAGTGTATTATACAATCCCAGAGCATAGAAAAAGATGGAATGTTTAGAATATATATATATTTTTTTGTCTAGCAATGGGCTAAAGCCAAAATTTGACAGAGCATTAAGAAGAGAAAAACTGAGATTCTAGGCCATATTTATTTAAAAATTAACAAATTCAACTCAGCACTATACTAAAAGTTCTAACCTCCATATAAAATTTACCTGAGGAATTTATAGATAAATCCATATTGAGATATCTATTAGTTGATTTGTCATATCAAAAGGTAAAAAGAAATCACATTTATATGCTGAAAATCTATCTAAATTCATGAGCTATTCTTGATTTAAGGAAAAACCTCCTAGCAAATTAGGAACATTATTATACATCATTGATCTGATAAGTAATTTTTATTTTAAACCTGTGACCAATGGCATAGTTAGCTATAAGACATAAAAAGTATTTTTCTAAAAGTCAAGAATAAACAAAAATACTTTCCCCATTATTATGTACCATTATTTCTGGAAATTTCAGCCAATGTGACAAGACAAAGAAAAAAGAATAAGGAGTTGAGATATTGCCAACAGGAGATACAATTGTTATTTGCAAAATTTGCAACTCTGCCTATGGAAACACTAAGAAAAAACTGAAAGAGAAATATAACTTATAAGAAAAGTTTACTATTTGGCTAATCAGAAGATAATTAGGCCAAAAACATAGCTTTCTTATTTCATAGCAATCACCAGAGTGTATAGTTTACAAAACAGTTCTATTAACAAAAACAATAAAACATTAAACTAATGAAAGTTATATCTTAAATATTAAATATTTGAATGAAAAGTAATGTACCCAGGTGATATGATTTGGCTGTGTCCCCACTCAAATCTCATCTTGAATTCTAGCTCCCATAATTACCATGTGTTGTGGGAAGGACCCAATGGGAGATAACTGAATCATGAGGGCAGTTTCCCCCATACTGTTCTCATGGTAATGAATAAGTCTCACAAGATCTGATGGTTTTATAAGTGGAAACCCCTTTCATCTCACTCTCATTGTCTCTTGCCTGCCACCAAGTAAGATGTGCCTTTCACTTTCACCATGATTGTGAGGCCTCCCCAGCCATGTGGAACTGTGAGTTCATTAAACCTCTTTTTCTTTATAAATTATCCAGTCTCTGATATGTCTTTGTCAGCAACCTGAAAATGGACTAATACAGTAAATTGGTAGCAGTAGTGAGGAACTTCCGTAAAGATACCCAAAAATGTGGAAGTGAATTTGGAACTGGGTAACAGGCAGAGGTTAGAACAGTTTGTAAGGCTCAGAAGAAGATAGAAAAATGTGGGAAATTTGGAACTTCCTGGAGACGGAGGGCTCAGAAGACAGGAAGATGTAGAAAAGTTTGAAACTTTCTAGAGCTGTGTTTGGCTTTAACCAAAATGTTGATAATGATATGGACAATAAAATCCAAGCTGAGGTGGTCTTAGATGGAGATGAGGAACTCATTAGGAACTAGAGTAAAGGTCTTTGCTATGCAAAGAGACTGGTGGTATTTTGCCCCTGCCCTAGAGATCTATGGAACGTTGAACTTGAGATGATTTTAGGTATCTGGTGGAAGAAATTTCTAAGAACCAAAGCATTCAAGAGGTGACAAAGCATAAAAGTTTGGAAAGTTTGCAGCCTGATGATGCAATAGAAAAGAAAAATCCATTTTCTGGGGAGAAATTCAAGCTGGCTGCAGAAGTTTGCATAAGAAATGAGAAGCCAAATGCTAATCACCAAGACAAAAGGGAAAATGTCTCCAGGGCATGTCAGAAACCTTCAAGGCAACCACTCCCATCATAGGCCCAGAGGCCTAGAAGGAAAATAATGGTCTCATAGGGCAGGCCCAGGGCCCCCCTGCTGTGTGCAGCCTAGGGACTTTGTGCCCTGTATCCCAGCAGCTCTAGCCATGGCTAAAAGGGACAAGGTACAGCTCAGGCCATGGCTTCAGAGGGTGTAAGCCCTAAGCCTTGGCAGCTTCCATGGGGTATTGAGCCTGTGGGCACAAAGAAGTCAAGAATTGAGGTTTGGGAAGCTCCATCTAGATGTGTGGAAATGCCTGGATGTCCACGCAGAAGTTTGCTACAGGGGTGGGGCCCTCGTGGAGAACCTCTGCTAGGGTAGTGCAATTATCTCCCAGTTGGAGATAACTGAATCATGGGGGCAGTTTCCCATATCTGTTCTCATGGTAGTGAATAAGTGTCATAAGATCTGATGATTTTGTAGGGGTAAACCCCTTTCACTTGACTCTCATTGTCTCTCTTACCTGCCGCCATGTAAGATATGCCTTTCACCTTCCACCATGATTGCAAGGCCTCCCCAGCCATGTGGAACTGTGAATCCATTAAACCTCTTTTGCTTTATAAGTTACCCAGTCTTGGGTATGTCTTTATCAGCAATGTGAAAATGGACTAATACACCAGGAAAGATGTGGTTCTGAGAATGTGTCCTACCAGAAATGTTCATTTATGTTTTACCCCTTTCTTCACCTTTAAGACAGTAAAGAGAACTTGTGTTTGAAGAATGCAGGTAGGTATTCCAGTTGCCAGTCCTGGAAAGGAATGAGAACCATGGATTTATTGCAACCATCCTTATAATGTTGGGCCTAACCCCACTGCAGGGAAAGACTGTCAGCCTTTTATATCCACAAGGCTTAACAAATAAAACATGGAATCCTGGGAAATTACTGACACAGGCAAAAGGGCAAGGGTTATAGGTGTTGTGATCAAAACATGACTCCTCTCAGACTTAGCACCTCCAAGACATATCTCAGAAGATGGTGGCTGTGAGTGAGCTGATAAGGCTCAGATGTGTCTGAATGAGGAACATCTTGGCAGCAAAATACCAGGGAGAATATGGATTCAAGGTGGGCCTACATTCCTCTGAAGGACCAGCTGATTTAGAGAAGTGGCTTAGCAAAACAACCCTATCACAGCACAGAGGAGTAAAACTTCCCACAGGTGAAGGTAATTACTTGATAGTACATCCTATTTCATGAAAGAAAAAAAGAGGTACTATTGACAGAGAGAAGAGTTCTCCTTATCTCTAAAGCTGGATGTTCAGAGCTTTCATTTGTAATCAAATATGTCTCCTAGCTCAAAGTAAACTATCCAAGTGAAGCAAAAGCATTATCTTACATTGGTACTAAACCTTCCATTGGTCTTAGAATGGTAGAATACAAAAGTTTGTAATTTGGTAAATAATAAATAATGTGATAAAATAGAGAAGACAGAAATATAACCCTAACTGTATCCTTTGTATTATTAATTTCTTACATTAGAGATAATGATCATTTTGTGAAGGAAACATAGATATTATACACATCCATTTAGTGGGATGTTATTGTTTTTAACTTGAAAACAGATCATAAAGTAAACCTGAATGAATGTTTCCATATGGTTAAGAAATTACTCTTAAAGAGAAATAAAACACTGTAATATTGCAAAAATCAATACAAATCCTAGAAAAAGAAAGTCAATAAATAACCATTTGCTTATTTTTCAAAAAGGGAAAATACCTGTTATTAGCAGTTAAATGTTTGTTTTAACATTTGTTAGGACTATTAACTTAATAATTTTGAAATATCCTTATTTTAAACATAATTGCCTCCTTGGAGCATAACACTTAAGCTTGAGGTTAAACTACCGTGATTATTAATTATGAGAAATGACATTTTCCCACAAAAGTCAGATTCAGAAAAAAATATTTTACATTTTATTATAGACAGAAATATTGTTAAAAAGTGATAAATTGCTTACTCACTTAAAACTGTAGACTGTATTCGAAACACATTTGTTTTTACTATGTAATAATTAAACTGATGATATACTAACATTTATCTACCTTTAATGGACTCAATAAATAAAAAAGGACTGAGACTATATTTTTAAAATGAAAACCTATAGCTAAGAACTCTATGTGAAAAAAGAATTTGTATTTTACAAGTAAAAATAAAGTTATCCTAAAAGATTAATTTTTTTTTTTTTTTTGAGACGGAGTCTTGCTCTTTCGCCCAGGCTGGACTGCAGTGGCGCTATCTCGGCTTACTGGAAACTCCGCCTCCCAGGTTCATGCCATTCTCCTGCCTCGGCCTCCCGAGTAGCTGGGACTACAGGTGCCCGCCACCGCCCCCGGCTAATTTTTTTTTTTGTATTTTTAGTAGAGAAGGGGTTTCACCGTGTTAGCCAGGATGGTCTCGATCTCCTGACCTCGTGATCCACCTCCCTCGGCCTCCCAAAGTGCTGGGATTACAGGCTTGAGCCACCACGCCCAGCTGAAAGATTAATTTTAATATGCAATGCATAATATCAATTTGTCATGAGAATTATAGTACAGTGATTCAGATAAAAAATTCCCAGGAGAGGATGGCTAAGAACAGAGGGCAGACCTCTTCATTATCAAATATCAAAAGAGCTGGCTAAGCAAACGATGCAAGATTAATATGAGATTAACCTCCATTTTAGACTTAGAGGGAAGCAGCTGGCCTCTATTGAAAAACTGTAGTCTAGAACCATATCAGTTTGTGTCTTAGCATCAAATAACAGGTAAGATACAGTTACAAATGCATGCATAGGTTAAGGAGCCTGGGTTCTAAAGGTAGTGTCAACATATAATTTCTATTTTGTATGCCTTAAGAGATATGAATATAAAATCAGATTAGGTTACAAAAAGAGAAAAATCAATCCATGGTCTTTAAAACTTCAAAGAAAATTTTAACACGTTGTTTGAGACTTCCAATTTCCCTAAGAAAATAATGTATATATACAGTAATAATAATCTTTTCACGTAACTTTCCAAACCATACAGATTCATCAGGAGATCTTAATAAAACCACCCATAAGTTACTTATAGAGCAAAACTAAGAAAAAGAGAAAACATAGACTTCTATTTACACATAACTGAGGAAATAATATAAAAATTATGTGAAAAAGAAGAGAATGCAGTAGGGTCCCAGACTTGGTGAAACACAGATAATGTTACCCCAAGGAAAACACTCTTTTTCTTTGGTGTTTTCTTTGGGATAAGACAAGACCTTACTCCAACTAAGGTGTGTGGCCTGGTGGACCAAAGCAATGGCTATTGAGGAATTGGGGGAAGTGGGAGAGGCATGAAAATTGCAGGACCGGAGAGGTGGCAACCTTGTGAGAAGGCATTGCTTAGGGTGGAGTGTGAGGCAACCTAAAAAAAGTAGATATCCTTTGGAAAGAGACTTGATAGTGAATGGAAAGAAGAAATAAAGTGGTGAAAAGTAAGGATCTCATAGAAAGTTAAAAAAGAAAATAATAGAAGTGGAAGACACATCAACTCGTAAAAAAGGCATCATTTATTAAAGGCAGTGTACTTCCATGCACCCTCAGAAGAGAGTGCTCTTGAACTAAGCAACCTAGCAAGCTGCCGAAACCCCTCATAATGCACCATAGGAATGCTTGTTGTTGCTAATCCTGGAAAATCCAAGACACTTTAGAATGGACAGAAAGTCAGGCAACATTTACGTATAACTAGTGTAAGAAAAAGAAAGTGAAACTCAATTGTTTAATTTGATGAAAATAGTCCTAAAATATGCAACAGAGAAAAATGTTGATGCAACATTCAAATATAAAGTCTGTAATCTTTAACAAGCACTGGCAGATATATACATATTTGGATATATGTATATATATTTTAAATAATAAGTGTAAAATTGAACTTAACATGTATAAATAATAAATATATATTCCAATGAAAGCAATATCATTTCTTCTTAATAGGACATGAAAATTGATCTTACATGAAGTCACAAAGAAAATCTCAATAACAACTTGAATGTAGAAATAATGTAAGATCATTTATTCATAAATTATGTATATTTTTATATAAAAATGATTTTACGTATAAATGTTATATATAAATGATTTTATACATAAATGAAAATAATGTAGAAAACTTCTTTGATAGTTCAATAAAAAGAAAAATATAACAAATAGTAAGAACATAATGATAAAAGTTGCAGTTCACTGTGAATACATCTAACAATGTTATATATGAGTATAGATTCAATATACTTAAAATGTAACCAACAAAATCTAGCAATGCATTTAAAAAATAATATACAAATAGGTCATATCATTCAAATACAAGAATGGTATAATATCAGAAGAAGTTTTACATATTTTCCACAGATTATCTTATAAAAACTGTCTGACCATCTTGATTTCTTTTACAGATAGATCATTATTGATGTAAATAAATGCAACTGATTTTTGATGTTGATTTTGTGTCCTGCTACTTTACTGAATTCGATCATTAGTTCTAACAATTTTTGTGACATTTTAAGGATTTTCTACACAGAGGATCATATCATCTGCAAACAAAGATAATTTTGCTTCCTTTTGCATTTGGATGGCTTCTATTTATTTTTCTTATCTGATTGTCCTTGCTAGTATTTCCAGCAATTTTAATAGAACTGTTGAATAGAAGTGCAGAGGGTGGGCATCTTTGTACCTTGCCTTGTACTGTATCTTAGAGGAAAACCTTTCCATCTTTTAGCATCAAATAACAGGTAAGATACAGTTACAAATGCATGTATAGGTTAAGGAGCCTGGACTCTAAAGGTAGTGTCAACATATAATTTCTATTGTGTATGCCTTAACAGATATGAATATAAAAATCAGATTAGGCTACATAAAGAGAAAAATCGATCCATGGTCTTTAAAACTTCAAAGAAAATTATGTTGGCAGTTGGCTTTTTATAAATGGCTTTAGTTATGTTGAGGAAATTTTCTTCTATATGTATTTTGTTGAGAGTTTGTATCATGAAAACATGTTGAACTTTGTTAAGTATTTTTCTGCATCTATTGAGATAATCATATAATTTTTATATTTTATTCCCTTAATATAGGATATTACATTAATTTGTGTATGTTGGCACAGGTACATATAAAGACAATAAAGGATTTTTATTACTATAAATACAGTTAGTAAATCTATTAATGAAGGCAAGAACAACAAAGTTGGAGGCATCACATGTTCTTATTTCAAATTATACAACAAAGCAATAGTAATCAAAACAGTATGGCATAGGCATGAAACACACACATAGACCAGTGGAACAGAATAGGCAGCCCAGAAATAAACCCAAGCACATGTGGTCAACTAATTTCCAACAAGGCCACCAAGAAGAAATGATGAGGAAAGATTAGTTTTTTTTTCAATAAATGGAGTTGAGAAAACTGGATATCCATACATCAGAATCAACTCTAAATGGATTAAATACCTAAACATAAGGCCAGAAACAAACAAACAAAAAACTCGTAGAAGAAAACATAGGGGAAAATCTTGTTGCTATTGGCCTTGGCAATAATTTCCTGAACATCAACCCAAAAGATTAACCAACAAAAGCAAAAATAAATAGGTGGTGCTACATCAAACTAAAAGGTTTTTGCACAGCAAAGGAAGCAATCAACAAAATGAAAAGTAAGCCTACAGATGGGAAGAAAATATTTGTGAAACATATACTTCATGGGGTTAATATCCAAAATATGTAACAACTCAAAGCTATAGTAAAAACAAAAACCAAATAACCTAGTAAAAAATGGGCAAAAGAGCTAAACAGACATTTTTCCAAAGAAGACATAAAAATAGCCAACAAGAATATAAAAATGTGCTTAACATCATTAACTATGGAGGGAAATGCAAATCAAAACCACTATAAGATATCAATTCTGCTGTGCAGAAGCTCTTTAGCACTATTCACAATAGCAAAGACATGGAATCAACCTAAATGCCCATCAGTGATAGACTGGATAAAGAAAATATGGTACATATACACCATGGAATACCATGCAGCCATAAAAAAAGGATGAGATCATGTCCTTTCCAGGGACGTGGATGAAGCTGGAGGCCATTATCCTTAGCAAACTAACACAGAAACAGAAACCCAAATACCACGTTCTCACTTATAAGTGGGAGATAAATGATAAGAATGCATAGACACACAGAGGGAACAACACATACTGGGGCCTTTTGGAGGATGTAGGGCAGAGGAAGGGGAGGATCAGCAAAAACAACTAATGGGTACTACGCTTAATACCTGGGTGATGAAATAATCTGTACCACAAACCCCCATGACACAAGTTTACCCATGTAACAAACCTGCACTTGTACCCCTGGACTTTAAAAAAAATTTTTAATTAAAAAATAACCATAATAAATAAAGATATCACTTTATGCTTGTTAGGATGGCTATTATCAGAAAGTCAAGAGGTGTTTGGAAGGATGTGAAGAAATGGGAACCCTTGTATACTGTTGGGAATTTAAATTGGTACAGACATAGTAGAAAATAATATGGATGTTCCTCAAAAAAATGAAAATAGAACCACCATATGACCAAGCAATCTCTCTTCTGGGGATATACACAAAACACATGAAGTCAGTACTTCAGAAAGATATCTGCACTCCCATGTTCACTGCATTATTCACAATAGCCAAGATAGGAAAACAATCTAAGTGCCCATCCATGAATAAGTAGATAAAGAAGTTGTGAGATATGTATACACATACAGGCATACACTTACACATATATACATACACATGTATATATACAATAAAATATTATTCAGTCTTATAAAAGGATATACTGCCATTTGCAACAACAAGTATGAATCTGGAGGGTACTATACTAAGTGAAATAAGCCAGATACAGATAGAAAAATACTGCACAATCTCACTTATGTGTGGAATGAAAAAAAAACAGTTGAATATATAGAAACAGTAGAGTAGTGGTTACCAGGGATAGGGAAGGGGAGAAAAATGAGACAATGTTGATTAAAAGGTACCAACTTGCAGTTATGTTAAGATAAATAAGTCTGGAGATCTAATGTCAGCAGGAAGACTACAGTTATTAATACTACATGTTGACAATTTGCTCAAGAGTAGATTTTAGGTGCTCTTGCCAAAAAGTAAAGATAGAAAAGAGCAACTAGCAACTATAGAACATGATGGACATGTTAAAATTGCTTACCTGTAGTAGTAATTTCCCTATAAATATGTATATCAAAATACCATTTTGTACACCTTAAATTTACACAATTAAAAAAGTTCAACGTTTGTAATAATCTTGGAAATACCAAATAAAACAATGATAAAATAAAATACCATTTTATTAAAATGAAGTGATTTATTAATATTTTTCTGTTTATACCTAATGTATTGGCCATTTTCATATATTTTTAGTTGGGGATAGATTGATATAATTTGTAATGCACTTTCTCAGTATAAACTAAGGACATTAAAACGTGTATATCTCTTTACTAAGTTATTTCCACCTTAAGAGATCAGAAATGGAGTTATTAATCACTTGGTGGTAAAATTCTGCATTGCTTTTATTTTTAACCTTATGTATTTTATTTTCTATACAGTATACAATTAGCTTAATAATATATTTTGAAATGAAAAAAATAACATTAATTTTACATGAAAAAACTTAGATCTCCTAAGAATAAAACTTCAAGGAAAATAATTAAATACTGCAATAGTACAACTAGGAAGTTGCTCCAGGTTTAGGCAAGCCCATAGGATAAATGATTAAACCTGCTTCAGGTTGGGCAAGGAATACCTCATCAACAAGGAGAAGATTCAACTTGCCAAATAGTTGCAAGGAGGGAATGATATTTTTTTCAAAGAAAGAAACTTATGGTAAGGCTTAAAAAAAGTGTTCCTTAAAGTGCGATGTAACATCGATGTAAAGTGCGATGTAAATTCCTTAAAGTGCGATGATGATTAGGATGTACATCCTAATCATCTGGAGTTGTTGTTTAAAATGTGCATCTTTGAGTGCCAACTCAAACCCACTACGTAAAAACCCCTGGGCACAGGGCATAAAAGCCTGCTGTGTACCTGGTTCTACAGATGGTTCTCATGCACAAAATTTCAGAACCACATTGTAGAAAAGTAAAGCAGTATGACATGCTTTGGAAACTGCAGATAATTTAGTGCAACTGTATTACAGGTTACAGATAATAAGAGATGAATCTGGAAAAGAAAAGAATGTTATGGTACATGCATAAGAATTCTTAAATGACACACAAGGGGCTTGGACAGTATGTGAAGATTCCACAGGAAACCACTGAAGAGTTTTAAGCAAAGGGGTAACCTGATCATATTTTTTTTTCCAGGATTACCCTGGCATCAGTGTGGATGACTGTATATGAGGCAGACATAGATTGGAAGAAAAACTCTGGAGTGTTTTAATTTTTCTGGTATAAGAAGAGGATTAGGAAAGGCTTACTTAGGTACACTTGGTGAATAATTGATTATGTGGATGAAGGGAGAAGAAATAATTTTGGATGATTCTGATACCCATGTTTGCCTGCTTCCATATGTAAGTTTATAACAATATATAGGGGCAAAAGATATTTTAAAGCTACAACTCTGTACTTTTCTACTTTTCCTTATTTTTAATCACAGGACCTAAATTTTACTGGAAACATGAAGCTTATAAAGATAAGTTCCTGCCACTGCAGTAAGTCCATCAGGTCATAAGAAGGCTGATGAAGGATCAAGAGACATCCTTCTCACATTGATTATTTTAGGTCAACTCCTTGGGGACACCCTAGAGATTTATCTCTAGATGCAACAGAGCTAAAATGTCTACAGACATTATTACAATATATGGACAGACATTCCATAGGATATTCTCTGATTGGATAAGATTGTTGGCTAAAAGTCTAACACGACTGTTGGGGGAGACAGCATGCACACTTGGGGGTGCTGTGATCCAGGCAATTTGGAGGCCTCCATTGCAGTTTCTATGGTTAAATATTGTGACAATGTGTGTGCACAGGGGACACATGAGTGATAGTCCAGGGTAATTTTAAAAATACTGTCTTATTAAAAGCCATCCCATTTCTATTTTGACTTTTTGTGTCACAGAATGAGACATTCCTTTTAACCACAGCTGTGATTTGCCTTCACATTGATTGTGGTAAGGAGGAATTTTCCCTTGACTGCAGAATGTCTTGTGACCACTTTATATATTTCTTAATTAAACTAACATGGCAGAGGTAATAGGGCATTAGAATAATTTTATCCAAAATATCTACTTCCTACCCATGCTGATCAAAGAGGTGCAAATGTAGGCTGAGTTGGATCCATGATCCCCTAAGAGCTTTGGCTACATGGGAGACGAAGGGAGCAAATACCAAATCCAGCTTCCCTTTGGGGTTACTAGGAGCCCCCAGAATCCTCAAAGGCTCTGAATCACTCACTCTTCACCTCCATAACACACACAAGATCCTTCTCCTATAATTATTCCCACCAAAAACAGTCATAAATTCAGGCCTTAACCAACCGTTTAATGGCATGCTGCTTTTTGTCATTGCTATCTATTATTTTTTCTTAAAGCACTGCCTCCTCTCTGCCATTTTTAAAAATTTTTATTGACTTGTATGGAGAAACCAAGGTATTTGTCCTGTAGAGTGCCCAACATTATGGATTTACTTTCCTTGGTTTCTTTTAACTTGTTCCCATATCCCCAGTATTTCTCTATAATCTGGCAATATGATAGTGATATCTACAGTCTTGACTATCTTTGGGTTTACTGTGTTTTATTTCTCCAAAAATACTTGATGGGGAGGGTGCACTTATTATTGTATCATATCAGGAAGCAAATAATGTCTATGACTAAACTATTATGGATGTCAAAATGATCTGTGAGTTCAGAGACATTAGCCTGATTTCCCATGAGACTGTCCCCAAAAACTTTTCATACAATTGTTTCAGCACCCAATGGTGAGGGATGCCTATATTCATACTTTTGTTAGGAGTATTTTCTAACATTTTAATGCATGTATTAGGTGGAATTCTATGAATGACATCCATATACTATTTTCCCTGTGGTACAGTTTTTAAAAAATAAACAAAAAAAGGATAAATGCTTTATTCTTTCTGTTAATTCATCGTTTTCAAATGAATGAGATAATGCCCTAGAAACCTCCAAAAGGTACCAAGGAGGTGAGTGTGTGTATATAATCATAAACTCAGATTTCTATATATTTATATACATTGTGGTCATTATTTGTTTTGATGGCCATATTGTCTCATTTTAGGTTAGTGGGAGCTCCTTAATATTGCTCCCGTTTTTGTGACATGATTCATTAGTCTTTGATAGCTTCCTTGATTTCTGGAGTAAGATGGCCCAAGTTTATTTTACATATTTCCTGCCCCAGACCTGGATTCAGCTATTCTCCTAAGAGCACTGGTTCTTAGGAACCAGTGAGTAATAGTATGGAGAGACCACAGTCTTGATGTTCATTGTAACTACTGCTACTGAGTTGTCATTACTTCAAGGACTTTTCAATGGAAAAGTGGGAAATACAGATTTTTTGATAGAGAAAATCAGTTATTAATTTATATGAATATTTCTAATTCCAATTTAAGTCAAAGATTTTTACTTAATTTCTTTCATTGTATACTTGTATCTCATTTTCTCTTAACACTGAAAATCCTGACTTCTAAAGAAATGTAACTACTTGTTTTCTTACAACATAGTATTCTAGATACAATAGGTTCAAAATAACACCAGTATTACCATTAACAATGAGACTACTAAATGCATTTTCACAGTGCACTAAAATCTCAGAATTCACTGCAATATAATTCATCCATGTAATAAAAAACCACTTGTAACTCCAAAACTATTCAAATAAAAAGTAATAACAAATTTAAAAATGCATTTTGAGATTTCTTCAGAATTTTTTCACCTTTATATTCCCCAAAAGACATTCTCATATTAATTTGTGAAGTCATTGAAAATAAGTATATATCTTTTGTGTAGTTTTGCCACTATTTGGTATTCAGTTGGGTTTGAATGCTTAAAGAAATGCTTTTTCTTTTTTATTTAATTTTGATTATTAATTATGTCAAATATTTACATGGTCCAAGATAAAAACTATATCACAGTTATATTTACACAAATATTATCTCCACAACTGTCCACCCCTCTGTTCTCTCCAAACCTCTATAGGTAAACATTTTTAATATCTTTAGTATCTTCTGTGATGTTTGTGTATATGTGTGTTTATTCATACTGTTCTAGGCCCTGTGTTTCTTATGTATCCTGGGAGTCAGAAGATATGCATATATAGATATTTTGCTAACTCCTCATCCATAAAATCTTCAACCAGTCCCTGACTGAAGAGTACCTGGTTTGCTTCTAGCTTTCAGCATCATTCAAAGTTCTCAGGCATATACCTATTTGTCAAAATAACTGGGATAAATTTTTAAATGAAAGATTGTTCAAGCAAAAGGTAAACGCATTTGTCATTTTGCATATTTAATTTGTAATTAAATATGTTAATCTTGCTATGAAAACATAAGAATTTAGAAAAATTGTTTTATTACAGAGAAAGAAAAAACCTATTTCATTGGTATGACCATATTTAATCAATGATAATTTACTGGTGAAATTTAAATTATTAAATTTATGCATGGTTTCTCATGCATGGTTTATATAAATAAACACCTTAAACAGTATAAACATTTGAAAAACTTTACTTTCCTTGGTTTTTTATAAGTTTAGTGGTCTCCAACCCACAATGTCTTAGGAAATAATTTAACAATAGGAAAACCCTTAAAACCATCTATCTCTATGTAAACACAAACATATACATGTGAGTGGGGATTGGTAGATAAATAGATAGAAATTGCTTTCCCAGAGGAGAACATTTCTGGCTTTAATAAATTGATTAGCTTTTTAAATCAGTCAAGAAAGTTAAGATCTTTTAAATAAATCCCCTTATTCATTCATTGTACTGCAATCTAACACAATAAAATGGGAGTAATATTTTTAAAGTGTTGTTAATCTGCGACTTTGTCTTCTTGGGACTAAAATATAATCCAACTTTTAAATGCAAAATGAGTTTTATTTGCTAGTCCTTTTTATTCTCAAATATGTTAAAAGCACATGATTATATTGTCTTATGTTGTTTCAGTTATGATCCTCTTCTGAAATCAGGAATACGACCCCAAGAAATGAGTGAGTCATATTTGCTTTTATATCTTATGCATTGCAAGAATTCAGTCTCACAAACAGTTGAACCATAAATTAAAAATGGTAGACTCACATTTGAATAGCAGCTAGTTATATATAAAAAAATCCAAATTTTTTAAAAAGTGACTTGTATTAATAAAAACTGGTGAATAAATCACCAATGATTTGTTTCCTCATGCTGTCATATTATTCTTCAGATACAACCATAAAGGCAAATAAGCCATAAAGACAAACAAGATGACATATTAAGAATGTTTAAAATTGCTTCTTCCGAATTTTCCGGATTCTACTGGCAAAGCGAAGCTTTGGCATCTTCTTTTTCTTTTTCAAAGCTAAAATCAATAAAACGACAATGAAAATCATACATCTCCAGTCTGTAGGCTCACTATAAATCACTATTTCTGATAAGGTTATTGAGCTCACTTCATCTTATTTTTAAGGACTGTGAAGTCAAAACTCATTATACACTCAGTTAATAATATTTTACCTTTAAGATATGAAGATACAGCTACCGTCTACTGCAGCTAGCCAGTAAAAGCATTTTGACAAAACTGATTAACACTACGGAGATACTTATGTAGAAGTAGTCTAGAAACAGCAATTTGCTATTAGTAAAATGGATAAATAAAAATATAATTTTTCTGATAAGTTATTTATAAAGTTTATCTAAAGGTGGAATAAGAAAACATTCACTACCTTTTGCACATGCACGTTTGCAATCCTCCCTGCTAACAAAGTTATTGTCATTCCCTCCACAGCCAGTATAGGTGAAAGCATCACAGGTTCTGTATCTTGGATTAAAATAATAGCGAGTCACATTGGCAGAGCACAGTCCCTCATCTTTTGGACTGTAGCAAAATGATGGAACTTTATAAAAAAGAGAAGAAAATTAGAAATGTTATAATACCAGAATTTTTAAATTATGGTGATTACTGAAGTAACTGAAGAAAATCTAATCCCATAGAAGCCTCAGTCTGAATCCAAAATATCATACTAAACCTTTAAAAAGATGTGCTTCAAATTGCAGGTAAGCTTACATGCTATATTTTGGTAATTCTAAATTTTTGTAAACTGGATAGAATTTCTTCTGAAGCTACATCTTTGTATCCTTTAAATGTAAAAAGAAGTTAAACCCAAATACCAGATATGGTTAGGTAAAAATGGGGTAAGTTTCAAGGACAATATGTGGCATGATTTGGTAAATTTTGTCGTGTTGGTAGTTTTGCTTTAATGTTTTTAACAGCTCTCATTCCATTATTAATCAATAATATATGCATACTAATTTCCAGGTAACCACTGGAGCAAACATTTATATGTACACAAACAAGAGAACATCCACAGTAACCATCACCACATTAACTCAAGATTTTGCATATTCAACACAGTACAGCTATAAAGCTTTATCAAATTCTCTGCCAAAGCAAGTTTTCCTTGTTTGTTGAACTTTTCAAAAATCTCTGTGTCTGGGGGAAATGCCTGTATTGTCTCCCTCTGCAAACATTAAATACTACTCAAGAGACTATCATTTCAAGGATTCAGGGGTGGTGGTGGGAGAGGTAACAAATGGATAGGACAGAAACGTGTGGAGATGTTTGTGCTGCAATTTGCAATTACTGAAGAATACAGAAATCTAACCGAAAACTTTAGAAAGAAATTTTCAAGTTTCACCATCTTAATTCTGTATATATTCCACTATCTCACATGTATAACTTATTGTGTACAAATCTGAGGTCATAACATTCATTAATGAATACTTTAATCTTTTATGCATAAATTGAGTAGCTGAGAAATAGTTCTAAAGAAACAATTCAGGGCTGGGCGTGGTGGCTTACACCTGTAATCCCAGCATTTTGGGAGGCCGAGGTGGGCAGATCATGAGGTCAGGAGATCAAGACCATCCTGGCTTACACGGTGACACCCCGTCGAAAGAAAAAAGAAAGAAAGAAAGAAAAGAAAGAAAGAAGGAAGGAAGGAAGGAAAGAAGGAAGGAAGGAAGGAAGGAAGGAAGGAAGGAAGGAAGGAAAGAGAAAGAAAGAAAGAAAGAGAAAAAGAAAGGAGAGAAAGGAAGGAAGGAGAGAAAGAAAGAGAAAGAGAAAGAAGAAAAAAAAAAAAATTAGCTGGGCATGGTGGCGGGCGCCTGTAGTCCCAGCTACTCAGGAGGCTGAGGCAGGAGAATCGCTTGAACCCGGGAGGCAGAGGTTGCAGAGAGCCGAGATTGTGCCACTGCACTCCAGCCTGGGCAACAGGGCGAGAGTCCGTCTCAAAAACAACAAATCAGAAGAGGCAGAAAGCAAAAATTTGAATCATGGCTTTGTCACTTTCCAGTCCTAAGAACTTGACAAGTCACTAACTTGTCAAGTAATGTGAAATCATGAAAATGCACATGTTAATTTCGCATCAAATTGAGTTTTTTCCACCCAAATGTCTTTTCAAAAAAGTGAAATAGAAATACCATAAAAATCGTATTTACTTTTCTTTGGTGCGCAGAAGCCCATACAAGTAGCTTCATCTGGAAACCTGTTCTCAATCCGGTTCCGGTGACACCCACCGGAAAAGAATTTTTCACATGTCATGGAACTTAGATTAAAGAAATACTTTTCTGTGGACCCCTCACACTGGTCGTCCACACTCACTTGCAGCCGGCAAACTTTGGGAACTTCTAGGAAAAGGAGGGTAATAGAACAATGTTAGTCAAAAGTAGCCTTCTTATTAAACCATCACTGTATTTTCAGCAACATTTTGTGGGGGGAGAGAAGTTGTATTAGTGTTGGGATAGTAAATACCCAGAATACTCCCATGAATCCAGATATTTACTTTTTTTTTTTCTAACAGTGTATTCAGAGCTGACTCAGCTGTGATGTATCTTTCAAGTTCAGTAGAAAGACTCTCTGTTTTCTCTGGGTGTTCTCTGATTGTACATATGCAGTGAATCAAAGCTTATTCACATGAATACGCATTTTCCCCTGGCTCAGTTCCTTGAATGGAAAAGCCCCATGTTCTCTTACAGGCCTTAACCGATATAATTTAAAAATTAAAAATAAATTAAAATATAACAGTATTATGAATCTCCACCATGTCCCGCAACTAATCCAACACATGTTTGGGTATCGGGACAAAAGTAGAGTTATATAATGAGCTAAGTCACACTTCAATAATAAAATCCACTAAAAATATTTCAGATTGATGGATAATCGACAGAAGGAAATGATGTACTCCAGGAGAGATAAAAATCATAGGTTTGGAATTAATGAAAAATACAGAGAAGCACTTACGTTGTACCTAACACGTTATTCTCTTGCATTTATTATACCCCATGGTGAGGGAACAAATCTTTCCCTGAGTCCGCACAGGCACTGAATTATGATCAATGTCAGTTGGGAGACAGGAAATGTGTTAGTGGTTGTAAATTTGTGATTACTTTTAAGAAACTGAAAACCATGAGGTTTGCTTAACACTTGAGAAAACCCAGGCTAAAACTTCCTGTAGAAAGCGAGACGTGGGAAACTGGCGAAGCTGCTACCAGCCGCCGGCGCAAGGAGCGCGAGAGTCCTGGGTGCGCGCAGGGCACTTACTTTCTATCCTCCAGCAAGCATCGTCGCAAGCCTCCCAGGTGTAGAAATTGTTGGCGTTGCCCTCGCAGCCCCCGTACAGGAACTGGCGGCAGCTCTGCGTGTACCTGTCGTAGTAGTAACGGAGAAGTAGGGCCCGGCAGGGTCCGTAGTCTAGGGGCAGGAGACAGATCTCCGCGTTATTTCCTGAAGAAGGGGCAGAAGGAGAGCAAAAGAGAGGGAAAGTGGTCAGGCGTAGCTCCTAGGAGGAAAGAACATCCCGGGGAGTTCTGTCCCCTTCCGAGCGGAGGGGCCTCTGCAGAGAAAGTGCAAACTTGGGAGCGAGTCCCCCCTGCCAGCGGAGCGCGCGGCAGGGACCTGGAGAAAGCGAGGCTTGGAGGGCGCCTACACGGGGCCCCATGGCCCGCTGCGCCCTCTCCGCCGGTTGGGGAGAGAAGCTCCTGGAGCGGCCAGATACCTGTTGGCTCCTGAGCAGCATCGCCCAGTGCAGCCTCCGTCAGGAAAAGCAGCAGAATCGACAGCCCCAGGGGGCGAGCGGGGTCCATGGTGCAGGGGGTCGGGCGGCCCGCTGGGCAAGGCGTCCGAGAAAGCGCCTGGCGGGAGGAGGTGCGCGGCTTTCTGCTCCAGGCGGCCCGGGTGCCCGCTTTATGCGGGGCGAGCGTCCGGCCGACCCCCGCCGGGGCGGAGCCTGAGGGGTGGCTGATTCATGCACGGGGACTGTCACCCCGCCGCCCCCGCGCTGCAAACTGTGTAAGAGGGAGAGGAATTCCCCGCCAAGTTGAAAAGTTGAACCTGCCTCCCAAACTTTCTCCTGTAGTCCAGACGGGGACGCCCTGAGGGAGCGTTTGTGTCAGTAATGGGAAATCTGCAAGCTAGACGGAAATGACCTGCTAGTGATTGCGCTGTAAAGAAGCCGGAATCCACCTCTTGAAGGCATGAAGTTCAGGTATTTGAAAGGCTGGTGGAGAGAAAGTGCGGAGTTCTTGGGTCAGAGCGGAGCGGGATTCGTTGCAATGGACCTTCAGATTAGATTAGAAATGTAAATAAGTGTATATTTATATTTATACACACAGATTTCAATCGAGTTCTAATTTACATTTAATACAGGCTTATAATATATCGTAGGTGGACAGTTTGATAAATTTTGACAACTGTGTAGCCACCAATAAAGAATTAGAACATTTTGGCTGGGCGCGGTAGCTCGCGCCTGTAATCCCAGCACTTTGGGAGGCCAAGGCGGGTGGATCACCTGAAATCAGGAGTTCGAGACTAGCCTGGCCAACATGGCGAAACCCCGTCTCTATTAAAAACACAAAAAATTAGCCGGGCGTGGTGGCGGGCACCTGTAGTCCCAGCCCCTCGGGAGGCTGAGGCAGGAGAATGGCTTGAACCCAGGAGGCGGAGGCTGCAGTGAGCCCAGATGGCGCCACTGCACTCCAGTCTGGGCGGCAGAGTGGAACTCCGTCTCGAAACGAAGAAAAAGAAGAAGAAGAAGAAAAAAAAAAGAGTTAGAACATTTCCATCACTCCAGAAAGCTCCTGCAGACTTTTTCCTAAATCAATCCTTCCATCCTTAGGCCAGGGGCAAACACTCTTCTCATTTCGATTACCATAGATTAGATTTGCCTATTCTTGAATTTCATATAAACGGAATTATAAAGTATTCACTGTGTAGTATTTCTTTCTCACACTTCCTGTTTTTGAGATACGCCCAGGTCACTGCATCAATAGTCTGTTTCTTTTAATTCCTGCGTAGTCCAAGGTATGAATTTACCAAAACGTATGAATATCCCACAATGTATAAATATGTTGCTGTGTGTATCAATAGTCTGTTCCTTTAAATCATTGAGTAATATTCTAATATATCACAAATGTCTTATTACTGGAATTTGTGTTGTTTCTAGTTTGTTTGGGGGCTCTTATGAAAAAAGCTGCTTTGTGTGGACCTGCAATTTTTATTACTCTTGGATAAAATACTTAGAAATGTTAGACACTGCCAAAGGATTTTTTCAAGATGATTGTACCATTTTACACCCCAACCAAGCATGTATGAAGCTATGTTTTTGTATGTATCTATGTTTTTGGAGAAGAACCATAGCAGCCCAGAGAGATAGCCTTGGGGAGTTCTGAAGATTTGACCAGATCAGTGTATTCCCACACATTTCCTAATGTCAGTGCATCCATTAAAGTTCCCTGTTCCTTTGACATATTAGCTTGTGATCCACTTTTTTTTTTAATACAAACAATTACCTACAGTGAAATTTTACATAAAATATTAAAGATATTTTTGAAGACATTTTAATATACTTGTCTTCCCTTCCCCTTTTCTCTTGTTGTATTCAACATTCTCAAGTAAATAATTATTCTTGACTTCTGAGGATACTGGGGGTAGTTTACAGAAGTTCTCTTTCAAGTTTTCAGGAAGCCCTGAAAAGTATAGGACACACTTGCTCAAAGTGGGTTAATAATCTGAGGTATTTTGCACATTATATCCTTGTGCCAGTTTTCAGTCATTCTGATGTCATGTTACAAGGTCACAGTCCTAGGAAAACCAGCCTGATCTGGAAATGCTGTCAGCTTTGATTAGCAGATGTCTATGATTAAGAATGATAGTTGAAACTATAAGGATAAATGTTTAATTATCACCTCTCCAGTAGGGAAAAATAAATGGGATGGGGATGCTTTGTATAGTTAACTGATTTCTGTGATGTAAATGTGCTCACTAAGGTCAATTTCAAGCTGCCACTGCAGAATCACTGAATGCCGAGGTGGGAAAAGATCTCCAAGAGCCAGAGCTCCCCATGGCCAAAATCTGTGTGAGCTGGCTCTAATGCACCAACCACTGAGACAGACAGCCAGTTTTGGAATGACACATTCAGAGTAAAGTCAGATTAGACCCTCCCAGTTCCTTCAAAATATTATTAGGGGAGGGAATTTTACCACTCATTTACCGAGAATCATATTCAGGAGAAAAGTTGACTCAACTTCAAACTTACCTATATCTATCTTCTGAATAAAATTAAATATATCTTTAGACTAAAATAAAATTCAAGGACTGATACTCAGTTTTCATGGAGCACTGACTACTGCCATTTCTCTTTGTTCTCAGGTGCTGGACACTTTTTGATTGTCTTTCGCTCATACAAAAAAAAAAATGAACCACTGGACACAATGGCTTCTGCTAGTAATCCCAACACTTTGGGAGGCTGAGACAGGAGGATCGCTTGAGGCCAGGAGTCAGAGACAAACCTGGGCAACATAGTGTGATTCCATCTTTACAAAAAAAAAAATTTTAACTTAGCTGGGCATGGTTGTGTACACCTGTAGTCCCAGCTATATGGGAGGTTGAGATGGAAGGATTGGTTAAGCCCAGGAGTTTGAATTTGCAGTGAACTATGGTCGTGCCACAGCACTCCAGCCTGGATGACAGAGTGAGACTCTGAATCTGACTAAAAAGAAAAAAAAAAAAAGATTAGCCCTTTTGTATCAAGACAGACATTTTGGGAAATTGCATCGTGCCATGGAAAAATAGAGTTGGAATTCAGAGGATACCTGGATTTTATTCCTTGCTACATTGGACAAGTTACTTAAAACTCTCTGAGCCTCAGTTTCCTTTTCTAATAGACATAATAACTCTACCTCGCAGATGTGTTATGAGGATTAAATGGAAAATGCCTATGCATTCAAAGATATTGTTTTAGCCCCTCACACAATGGCACAAACTTCATCCAGATCATCCCATATCCTACTTCCCATTGAGAGCCTTGGCACACAATTTTGAGATGGAGCATCAAACTCCCATCAGGAAACAGAGCAACATGAAATGGCCTTATAGAATTAAAGCCCATGTCCTTGCTCCTGTCAGCTCTTCTCTTAACTAAGCTCAGAGACCACCTCTCTGCCCATGAAGTTGTCACACTTTCTGGTAGTCTCTTCTAGGGAAATGAGCTTCAAGGGGATTTCAGAGCAGAATCCTCAGCCCACTCAGGGCTGCTGTATAAGGCATGTAGTGGAAATGGGAGGGGGGCAAAAACAGGCCTCTCACCCTTCTGTGGTGTGGTCTGTAGATGCAGGTTGGAATCAGTCCCGAGAGATGCTCTAGAAATGCTGGTTTCCTTCTACTTTTCTATGCCAAACAGGGTGCATCCTTAAAACCTCTATGACCACAGATGGAGAAAGGAGAATTAAAGAAGTGGAATTGGCAGAAGTTTGAGATTACTAACCCAGGTTATTACAAAAAAAGTATTCCTCTTAATTGCATAAATAATTGAGTATTTTTATATCCATGAAAAAGACATCTTCCAATATAAGGGTAATCTGAATTTCCTGGAGACTACTTTGACGTTACTGAATTTACATTTAGAATATTTTGGAAGGAGCAACATGACCACCACAATCAGCCTCCAAAGGGATGTCATAGCACTTCTATCTCCTTAATCCAGTGTCTAGCCCAAAATGCTGCCTCAAGGCTGAGGAAAGTAATTCCTTTGTCCAAAGTCAACAGGAAGTGCAAGGCTAGAGATAACTGGGAAAAACAGTCATCCAGATTGATTTGTCATTGCTACACCAATTGACAGTTAAATTGTCTGTGGCTAAAGACAAAGGCTCAAAATAGTCTGGAGTTCTGTAAAAATAAGGCATGGAGTTGTAATTTGAATGCTGAATGGAACTATAAGTATGTTCACTTTACACAAGTGTGA
Source organism: Homo sapiens (assembly GCF_000001405.40). Lineage (NCBI taxonomy): Eukaryota > Metazoa > Chordata > Mammalia > Primates > Hominidae > Homo > Homo sapiens. Next base: position 93,894,833 of record NC_000007.14, read on the forward strand.
ACTGAGATCTAGAAAGGTTAAGCATCTGGTCATGTTTACCTGCCATGGTTGTTGGCAGACCTGAGACTAGAATCCACAGTTCTGGATTCTTAGTCCTATATTCTTTCTATCACACCTAGACCTAAGTTCTTTCTACCATACCAAGACCTTAAAGCAGAATATGAAATACCAGAATTTAAAAATGCAAAAGCTGCAGTGAGTCCAGGAGCGCCTCTGCATGTGTCAGATTGCTGCCTCTGATCTTTCTCACCACCACACCCCTGGACCCCACAACAAATGAAGTTGATTTTGACCTGTTTAGCCCCTCCCATGCCTTGAGTATGATACTGTATCCTCTGAGAGCCCTGCCGTCTCGGTAGGTGAACCAAGAATTTAAGAAATGGACTGTGGCAGATGGTCTTCCTCTCTCTCAGACACCTTAGAGAGAGGTAGCATGTCTGGCTTATGAGTGAATGATGAGAATTAATTGAGCCCAGTGATTTGGGGATACATATTATGTAACATAGGTATTTAAGGAGTTACACTGATAACTCCTTAATAAACAAAGACAGTTTTTGCTGCCTCTTAGTTTAAGCCCTGCCAAAATAAAACTTGAAATGAGTCCAGCTGGCACTAATGAGTTTACACATCTGCTAAGAAAGATAGTTAATCTCTTCTGAGCAGTAAATGGTCATGAGGGTTTTGCTAAAGTTTAAGCAACTCCTTCACCAACTAGGTATTTTTCTAACCAGCTGGGCCATGTAAGAAACATTTATTCTAATGCACCCTCTGTCAGGCACAGAGTGCATTTGAGAGTGCTATATAATAAGATGAAGCCACATGAAAGGATGGGGTATCCTCTGTGCCTAATTTTATGAATCCCCTTCCCCCTAGAAAGAAAGAGATAATGAGGGTATATAACGTATCTCTTACTGTGTTCATTCCTTCATTAATCTACTTTAAAGGGAGCTGATTAAATGTTTGAAGTGTGACAAACTTTATGCTAGACATTTGGGATACAAATATGAGGGACCTCATAACATAATAGGGTAGATGAATGAACACTGTATAACCCAGTTACATTACAATGTTCTTAGTACAACATCAAAAATATGTACTAGGTTGTATAGGATTATAGAGGAGGAAGTAAATAAAAGGTAGGCAAAGCTCAATTCCAAATAAAATCCACTCTATGCAAACATACCTGACACTATATCTTCTAGGCCTATGCAATACAGAGACTCATTCCTTCATCTATTTGTTTTGGTTGGCTATTTTAGGTGCTGTGGTTGTAACAAAGTATTGCCTTCTGCTAGAGGAGCAGAATCTCAGAAACCACTTTTCTCTACTTCCTGGATGTACATTCCCTCAAGTGTCATTATGTCTACTTGCGATGCAGACCATCTTTTCTCTCACTCAGATTGCTACATCTTTAACTGTGTATGGCATCCAGAAGATTATGGCAAATTTTAGATGATTTTTATCCGAGACCTCCCAACTCAGTGCTGCCTCACCACCTAGCCAAAATTCTAGCCTTGGTTACTAAGCCTCTGGCACATCAAGAGTGGAGAAAGGAAGAGGAATGTTCCCCTAATCCCTGTATATCATGTGGAAATCTCCTTGGCAATCACAATACTAGTGGACATAACAGTGAAAGTTTGCATTATGCCTTGAATTTATTAGCTCATTAAATCCCGCACAATAACGACTTGAGGGAGATATGTTACTCTCCCTACTCTGCAATGAGAAAGCTGAAACTTTTGATAGATATATGACTTTCCCAAAGCTATTCAGTTAGCACAGGCAGTCTAAATCCTGATCCCCTGGTCTCACTGACTGTATACACAGTCTTTTTTTCCACATTAACAGAGGCCAAAGTCAAGCTTATTATATATACTTTCATGACCCTGGTTCAGTACCTGGACAACGCTGTATCAGTTTTCTTTTCTATGCAAACATAAAGTTCATAATTCATTCATAGGGCAAACAGATAGCTACAATTTAAATACATTGCCATAATGCTCTAAGAAGAACAGCTGCCAAAACTGATAATCAGATTAGAGGATTGAGAAATTTAATCACTAAAGTCCTCATTTTCACGGTTATATTTAGCAGAAAGTAATGGACCTTGACCTTTCAAATGTAAAGACACATTTTCTTTCAAATATATTGTCTTTTTATAAAGTGGCCAAAATCTCGTGTTAGTTATACATTGATTACTGCAGTGCCATATGCTCTCCAAATGCTCATTTTTTCTGGCTTACGTTGAAAAGCTTTTGTATCTTAAATCACACATGAGGGACAATCTGCCAGTTGGGGCAGGAAGAGGCAATAGCTGAAGTTTGAAAGGAACACACATCTCCTAGGACTCTCACTATGTGTTTTCTCTTATTGACTATTAGCTGAGGAAAAACTGAGTGGAGCTGAAAAGTTTACATTAGAAGAGAGTTGAATATGTTAACCTCGACTACATATTCTGAACCAGCCAGGGAAGGGTGAGTTAGTTGTTTCTGTTGGTCAACTGAATCTCAGGTATCTTTGGTCTTCCTTTCTCTTACAATGGAAGTAATGTTCAGGACCTATCTGAGACCAGTCCCTTGTCTACTGCTCTTCATCCTTTTTTCTCTTGTTTTCTCAATGGCTTTACTCCTTCCTCTCTTCAACAGCATCAGCTCTGCCCCCTCTTACTCTTTGGCAAAGACACCCAGATTTTAATAATTTCCATCTGGAATGCTTTGTCTCTGACTTTTCAACCCAAAGTTAAAATTTATATTTGACTCTATATCCTTCTCCTGTTAGTGTTGCCACTTTACTGCTCCCTTTTCTAGCCAAATTTATCAAAAATTTTACCTCTACTCTCTTCCTCCACTTCCTCATCTCCTGTTTTTCCCAGATCACTCCAATTAAACTTCCTTTTGGGAAGAGGAAGAACAGGAAGTGCTATTGTCAAGAGCAAACTTGACACGTGCTACTAGACCTCTCAATATATGACACCCAAAGCAACTGTCCTTTAAAATCACCCAACATCACATTTTCCATTAACATCTTATCTAAATTCTTTTTAGTATTTGACAAATACTTCCTCGTTCTTTAAATGTTTTCTCTCAGTCTTCATAACACCACATTCTTTTGTTTGTTTCCTGCTTTGTTGACTGCTCCTTCTCAATCAATCTGTCCTTTTCTGGCTAACCATTAAAGGCTAGGTGACTCAAGGCTCAACCCTGAGAATTCTTTTCTAACCATATTATTTTCTGATTTCATTTCAAATACATATACATATAAACCTTGCACGCACATATACACATGCACATACATACGCATGTATTTGTGTGTGGTCTTGATCTTTTCTCAAAATTTCAGACATTCATGTCTATTTAGTATCTCCACTTGAATGTGTAATAGAAACTCAAACATTTTATGTCCTAAACTGAAGTCTTTTTTATATATCCCCAGTCTTCCTCCTTTCTGTAAATGACCCTTCTACTTAGATTCTCAAGGCAAAATCTCTGGAGTCATTCTTGAGAGCTACCACTGCTTAATTATGCAATTCATCAACAGTCCTTTCAATTCTACCTCCAAATCACTTTTTTTTTTTTTTTAAATACAGAGTTTCGCTCTTGTTTTCCAGGCTAGAGTGCAATGGCGCAATCTCAGCTCACTGCAACCTCTGCCTCCTTGGTTCAAGCGATTCTCCTGCCTCAACCTCCCAAGCAGTGGGGATTACAGGCACCTACCACCATGCCCAGCTAATTTTTGTATTTTTAGTAGAGACAGGGTTTCGCCATGTTAGCCAGTCTGGTCTCAAACTCCTGACCTCAGGTGATCTACCCACTTCAACCTCCCAAAGTGCTGGGATGACAGCCAAATCACATTTTTAATCTGCTCATGTCTCTTTATAGCCACAACAGCCAATGTAGTTCAAGTCTGCAATTTCTGAGGAACCATTACCTAAGCTCCTTGTTTTCACCTTTGTTTCCCATTTAACCCCACACAGAACGTGGAGTACCTTTAGTATATCAAACAATTAAAAAAATGCATGTTTTACTTGTCTGATCCTCTCACTGTTACATAAGCTCTGTGGGAGCATAAAGCTTACCTGTGTTATTTACCACTATATCACAGAGCCAAGAATGAGACCTGGAAAGTAGGCTCTCATGAACATCTGTGAAATAAACCAATGACTTTCTATTACCACTATCCTTTTTCTTTACAAATGTCTTGAAAACTCAAATGGCACAGTGGAAACAGAGAAACAGAGTAGTTCTGGGAAAGAAAGTGAGTTGTCATAGAATATATTTGGTTGTCTGTAAGTCACGTGCACCTTGAAAATAAGCTAACATGTTGAGAAAGAATGGTATCCATGTAATAAAATAGCAACTGATACAAAAGCAACTGGCTTTCAAAAAATGAACTATGATAAAATTTATGATCAACCTGACCAGTTGGAAAAAAATAAATAAAACTACCTTTTATTTGACCATAAAAATTCAACTGAAAAAAAATGATATATACTGAGGAGTTATGGACACGGCAAGAAATAAGAAAGCTGAATTTGCTGCTTTAACCTCAAGCAATCAAATGAGTGCCTAGCTTATGGTAATTACATAATAAATATTTGATGAATAAATGAATACTATTTGAGCTTCTATCACATTATTGGCGCTGGTAGAAAGACAGAGAGAAAAAAGAGTAGATTCATGGAGATAAAGGCATTGCATGTTAAGTATTTATCAGAGTGTCTATTACATGATGAATGTTCCAAAATAGCTAATATCATCTCATTTAGTCCTCAGGACAGGAAACTCACTGTCCTTTGTAAATTTCAACTCATCTCCCTCACTTTCGAGTGCTACAAAGTTTAGTCCTTTGTTCTCTTCTCTTTCCTATTTACCTTTGGTGTTCTCCGCTGTTCTCATGGTTCCCCCCAACTCTGGCCTCTCCCCTAAACTCCAGACCACCTACTCAATGAATGGCTAACAAGTATCTGAGACTCGGTATTCCCTTTTTATAGTCTCTGATCTCAGGAAACAGCAAATCCCTTCTTTTGGTTGCTCTGGCAAAAAAAAAAAAAAAAAAATAGCGTCATCTTGATTTTTTTCTTTTCTCTTTTTATTTTTCATTCTACATCTGATCAGTCAGCACATCCTGATGTCTCTGCTTTTAAAATGTATTTAGCATCTCAGCACTTGTCCCTACCTCCACTCGCACCACACTGGTTTGAACCGCCCTCATATTTCACCTTGACTGCAATTGCCCCTTCTCTGCTTCCACCCTTGCCCCCATGAGCTAGCCTCCAACAGCTGCCAGAGTGACCCTGTTAAATTATATGATAGATAATGTCACTCTGTTACTCAGAATCCTCCAATCTTCCCTAAGTCACTCAGAGTAAAGCAAGAGTCTTCACAGTGGCCTGTAAGACCTATACGGTCACTGGTTTCATATACTACTTCTCCCTTGAATTCACTGGGCTCCTTATATTCATACTTGTCTACTGTTGCTTGTACTTGCTGTTCCTCAGAATGATTTTCTCTTTGATACCTACAAAGCCCACTCTCATAGCCCTCAGATCTTCACTCAAGTAGCATTGTCAACAGAAAGGGCTCCTTTGGTCGTCCTCTCTGTAACTGAAACATTGCTAACACTGTTCTTATTCCTTTCCTGCTTTATTTTTCTCCTTAGCACTTATCTCAATCAAAATTTGGTATATTTTTCTTTTGTACCTTTGTTAGTGCCTGTCTCCTTTACTATAATGTAAGTTCCTTGAGGGGAAAGGTTTTCATCTGTTTATTTCCCTCTGCTGTACCTCAAGCACCTAGAATCATATCTGGCGCACAATAGGTATTCAACAAAAATTCTTAGCTGTTATCTTTTTATAATGCCAAGTAAAATGTCAGGATAAAAAAGAATAGTATAGAATGAGTAAGTTTACATCTATATGCTTACAAGCTTATTGTGCATAATACAGTGGATTTGTTTCTGAAAAATTGTCAGAATTACATGTGTATAAATATAGTTTCATGTCAAACTACATGTTTATAAATCAAATAATTAAAGTGTGCTGGCAACATTGCTATTTCAAAGAATCTGTAATTAATCCTCTATAAAAACAAATAAGTTTTTTAAATAATTTGAATAATTTCTCCCTTATCTAGCCCTTTATAAATTAAATATTTTATTTATCAGGTATTTCTACTTCAAAATACACTTACGGATAATGTGTAAAAACAAACAGAAAAAAAACAGGTGGCCTTTTAACTTTACCTCAGCTCATTTTAATTCTAGAATAAATTAGCAAGAAATGTAATGGAAGCTCTGAAAGACATCATGAGATACTTAACCTACTCTATAGAGTTCTATCTTCCCAAAGTGTTTAACAAACACTAAAACGTGGTACATTTAAGGAAGCTTCCTACCCCTCTATTTATGACCTCCATGATGTGCTTGCATTGCTAAGCATATCTACCTTTCTTTTTTACACTTTGTCAATGCAACAGTGTTTTCTGAGAATGCTCAATGTATTGAGATGTAAGCATTAAAAGTGATTTATGTTTTTACAGAAATTGCATCAGCAACTATGCTATGTTGAATTGCCATTTCCTAATGAGTAGCTACTCTTTAACAATCATTTAAACTGATATCATCATTGTGGGTCATATTTGGCTAATAAAAACTCATTCTAATATTTAAGACCAAGAAAAGTCAAGACAATGTACATTTCCTCTACCACTTCTGGGGCTCTATGACCATGAATTTCATCTAATCCAGAGTCTCATTTGTACAAGAAGTATTTTGTAATGGCCTGTTTAAAACCATCAATATAGTGAGGCTAAGGCAGGAGGATCACTTCAGCTCAGGAGTAAGTTTATGGATCTATGGATGGGATACAACTCAGAAATACTTCTCCTACTCCCGCCCTCTTCTTCCCTGATCAGCCTGGGCAACATGGCGAGATCCCATCTCTATTAAAAAATTAAGTTAGCTGGACGTGGTGGCGTATGTCTGTAGTCGCAGCTACTCAGGAGGTGAGGTGGGAGGATCACTAGGGCCTGAGAGGTCAAGACTGCAGTGAGCAGTGATTGCACCACTGCACTCCAGCCTGGGTGACAGAGTGAGACCCTGTCTCAAAAAAAACTCACCAAACCCATCAGTATGGTACCTGTATTAGTCAGGGTTCTCTAGAGGGACAGAACTAATAATTAAACTAAATAATTAAACTAATTGTTTAATTTATATATATATCATATATATATGACATATATATGATATATATATAAAGTGGAGCTTATTAAGGAGTATTAACTGACACAATCACAAAGTCCCACAATAGGCTCTCTGCAAGCTGAGGAGCAAGGAAGCCAGTCTGAATCCCAAAGCTAAAGAACTTGAAGTCAGGTGTTCAAGGGCAGGTAGCATCCAGCACAGGAGAAAGATGTAGGCTGGGAAGCTAAGCCAGTCTAGCCTTTTCACCTTCTTCTGCCTGCTTTTTAATCTGCCTGCACTGGCAGCTGACTAGATTGTGCCCGCCCAGATTAAAGATGGGTCTGCCTTTTTCAGCCCACTGACTCAAGTGTTAATCTCCTTTGGCAACACCCTCACAGACACACTCAGGATCAATACTTTGCATCCTTCAATCCAATCAAGTTGACATTCAGTATTAGCCATCACAGTACCTAAATTATATTTATAAAATACAAAAAATCAGCAAATTATATAGACTAAATACAATATGAAAATATTCACCATGACTATACATAATGAAATAGATTTATGTATAGAATTACCACGGACATAGCAGCCGAGAATAGATACACATATATCAAGCCCATGCCTACATAGAGTGATATGATTTTCTGAAAGAGAAACAAAAATTATTGGTTAATGGTCTTCCTTTTATTTATATGCATTATTGTAAAAAGTGTATATAATAACCAAGAAAAATATTTTGTTTCTATGTAAAATGAAGTGAGTTTCAAGGTTCAAAGAACTATAAATATGGCTTTTGCATATGTGGAAGCCTGGCATATCTGACAGTCATGCTGAATGTGTCACATTTCATCTTATGCTGCAGGATCCCAGAAAATGCAAGATATCTGACATTCCTTATCCATACCCACAAAAATTATGGAATACTGTTATAAACAAGCTGACATATTTTCATGAGGGCCCCTAGGGGGCAGTATTGCCCCCATTGAGAACCAGGGATCTATGGATGGGATACAACTCAGAAATACTTCCCCCACTCCCACCCTCCTCCTGCCTTTTATTGGACCTTAGATACTCTGATGGTAGTGCAGGATGGAGGAAGAAGTGAAAGGGCAAACATCTCCTTAACTAGGGTATGCTTTCCCCCAGGCTGGCTGTAATAGCAGTCTTAGCTTGTTTGTCTATAGATCTTCACTCTTCCCCTTAAATTTTGACTAAAGTTGGGGTGGGGATGTTTGGCAATAGGGATAATAATCTGACCTAGTCTCTTAGGACTTTTTTGTGGAGAAGTGGACCAACCTGAAAGCTTAGAATATGAGGGGCAGCTTTAGTGCTATTTGTCATCAACTCCGGACTTTCTATGTAATTCTGGGGTATGAAGAAAGAAATCCACTCCTTTACACTAGTTTGAGAGAGACGTGCTGGAATGAAAAACACCTCAGTTCAGACATGCTGGAATGAAAAACAAACACCTGTATTGTAACCTCAGCTCCACTGCCTCTCATTGTTTAATTTAGGGCATTCAAACTCCCTGGAATGCCTTTGCCTCATCTGCAAAATGGAATAGGGAGTAAAGTAGATGATATTAAATTTGAATTATTTGAACCATTGACTTCAATATAACACTAAACATTTGGAATCTCCATGCAGACAATATTCACTGTTCTTCTTTGTGTCCTTGAAATAAGTGAAAATTTTGGTCCTCTTTTTTTCTCATATAAGACCTGTGCCATCAAATTTGGTAAGAATTCTAGAATCTTCTAATAATATGTTTGCCCTAAATAAAGTGTTTTAAATGTTTAATATTATTGAGCATGGTGAATCACAGCATTTTAGAGTTAAGAAATCATTTATTGATAAAATGAAGTTAGAAAAATTGGATGTTTTTCTATGTTTAGGTAAATGCATATGACATAGGTTAGGTGACTTTGTCAATACTTCCTGATCTCTTCTATATACCAAACAATATACAGAACAATAGAAAGTAATGAGGACGTAAAAGTCATGCAAGGTATGATCTCCCTTGTAAAGGCTCTAAAAATTCACTGTGTCTTCGGTTGGGTTTGCTAGAAGCAAAGCCTAAGACAGGAATTATTGGGTAAGAAAGTTTTCCAGGGCAAGCTCTCAGGAGAAACTGCTAGAGGAGTAAGGCTAGGGCAAGAGGAGAAGTTAGTCAAAAGTGGTTTCAGAAGTCTAGCATCATTCTAAACCCATGGAAAGGCTCTGGAAGTTTCTCAGTTACAACAAAGTTTTTCAGCCCAGAAGCAAGGGGGCTGGGCTGATAGGACCCCACATTAGCCAGCCTTTTGCTCCAAGTCAACCTCAGGGGTCAGATGGGAGCATAATCTCCCAGGCATCATCAGGAAAAGTGTTGCCCATCAGACAAGAGCCAACCTGAGCAAAAGGTTTGCCCTTGACAGTCAACACCTGCAGCTGCTGCGGACTAGGTATCTTACCCTGGAAAAAAAGGAGAGCTGGGCAGTAACATCTGGAATGCATGATATTAAAGGAGTCAAATTATGTACGCATGATCTCCTTTAAGTGTATCAGTAATATCACCTATCTTCTTTAGAGCACCTATAAGATCACATACATTATATGGCAAGGGCCATATAAGAAAGTACAGTTTGAAATTCTGGAAGCACAACAAAGTGAATAACACCAGCTAACACGTGCAAGTGCTTGCTATGTACTACACGCCATTACAAAGTCCTTACCTATGTTACCCCCATTTAATACTCTCAACAAATCTACAGGGTAGGTAATATTATTGCCCCTATTTCCCTGTAAACTAAGGCACAGGCAGGTCAAGTAATTTGGTCAGTGTCACATGGCTAGCAAGTACCAGTAAACGATTATTTTGTTGGTAAGTATATGAGAGGGCTTCCTGGAATAGAGAAAATGAAATTCTAAACCCAACACAAGATCTACTAAATTAGAATCTCTAAGGTTGGACTCATAACTTTAACGAGTTTCCTAAAGTGATTTCTGCACACACTGGAGTGTGAAGAGCCATTACCTAAAGGAATTAAAAGTTTTCCAAAATGAAGAAAAATTGTGCAAAGAACAATGTCAAAAGGTAAAAATGATCATCAAAAATACTTAATGAAGTTTTATATTTAGTCTAAAAGACTGGGAAGGAAGATGAGAATAAAATTTGGGTTCCCAAATGCAAAACAGGCTTATACAGGAAGAAATAACCTTTGTATAGTCATAGTGTTTCTTAAAGAACAGAATAGCAAAAATAAAAACATAGGACACATTGGGCTCAAGTACCCACAGTGTGTTATTTTCTACCTCTATGTTGGCCTATGTAGACATTTGTCCCTTAAAATTATCTTAAACTTGAGACCATCCTGGCCAACACGGTGAAACTCCACCTCTACTAAAAATAAAAAAATTAGCTGGGCGTGGTGGCATGCACCTGTGGTCCCAGCTACTCAGGAGGCTGAGGCAGAAGAATCGCTAGAACCCAGGAGGCGGAGGTTGCAGTGAGCTGAGATCGCGCCACTTCAGTCCAGCCTGGAGACAGAGCGAAATTCCTACTCAAAAAAAAAAAAAAAAAAAAAAAAATTCTTAAACTACTACTTATCCGGAGAAAAACAAGGTATTTTAAGACTGGGAAGGGAAAGAATCTTCCTTCAATGGTTTTGGAAATGAAAACACCATTTAAATTCAAGGAAATAAGTTAATTGCTGATAGATTATTAGCAGAGTATTTTCATGTAGATGTAAAATGTTATTTTGTTCTCTGAAATAGTATGTGATCTATATACACTTACTTTTATAATAATACTTCATTACAAAAATTGGACTAGGGAGAAGGAGGAGACACTATAGGTACAATGCCATTTGGCTACACTGAAATCTTTCCCAGGCAATTTCATAGGACTATCACCAGCTATTGAGCCTTCTTCCCCATTACTCACTGGTCTAATTGGGGAGAAGAGGAATTGCAAAGAGGGCAGAAGAAAGAGTCTGTTCTAGTAGGAGGTTATTGGTAGATCAGACTTGCTATGTCCCCTTTAGCCTGCTAAATTTTCTCATCATTGTTACCAGATTCATTGTGACAGTTACAGGCAAATTTCATGTGTTGTTGGAAAAACGCTCACAAGTAATACGCTAGTTTATTTCTGATTAATAAGACTGTTTACTATATTTCCATTCTACGGGTACACATTTAAACAATCCATTATTTATAATGAAATTATAGTGATACTTTTTATATGGTTCCCTTTTAATACCAGGTTAAATACTCTAGAGATTTAGGGAATTAATGGACCGTCATCCAAATGACCTCAAATTAAGTTAAATGACATAAAACATAGGTGGAGGGTTTTGGAATTGAAAGTAAGGATTGGAAACCCCAAATTTTACACTATACAAAAGACCAGGGGCAAGGAGGCGCTTTAAGTATTTTAGATTATATACTGACAAAACTCACCCCTCCCAACAAACCTGCTGAACAGGTGTTTGGAGTCAAATGCTTGACTTAATCATATTAGTGAAGATTAGGAAGAAGCTTTAAAATCCCAAGGCTAGTGTGCATTGCTAGAATTGTTAAGAGAGAGAGCTCATATGAAATTGGTTATCGTGGGATATTTAAAATAAAACAAAGAACAGTTTACTTTGTAAGTTAAGAGCTGAGGGAATTGTTGGCTAAGACTGACTTGAAATAACTCCAGCAATTCATGCATAGCTGCTAACCTTCTACATCTTCAGCAGGCAAAAAGATGCCAGTAATCAATATTGAGGACCTGACAGAAAAGGACAAATTGAAGATGGAAGTTGACCAGCTCAAGAAAGAAGTGACACTGGAAAGAATGCTAGTAAGTTGCTGCTTTCTTTAGTATTTTATTTTAAGCTAGAGATACTGTGGGAGTACCAGGTTAGAAAACATTGGCTGGAAAGGCTCAATGTAGTTACAAATAAATTGTTCATCTAAAAATTTATCAAAGATTAAGAAAATTGATAATCAATCATAACTATCTCTTGATTTAGATTCTAAATCAAGGAGGTTGGCAAACCATTTTCCTCTGGCCAAGCCCAATCCTTAGCCTCTTTTTGTATGACCACAAAGATAAGAATGCTTTTTCATTTTTAAAGAGAAGGGAAGAAAGAAAGAAAGAGAGAAAGAAGAGAGAGAGAAAGAAAGGGAAAAAGAAGGAAAGAAAGAAATAAAAGAGAAAGAAAAGAAAAAGAGAAAAAGGAGAATATGAGACAAAAACCATATTTTAGATAAGCAATAAAATAAATATACGCATGCAATAATATAGGCATTTTGTTTTTACTTTTCTAAACTTCTTTTTATAATGCAATATTTTGATATTGATATTTTGATACAATGTTTTGATATTGCTGCAATACTTTAAGCTATGATGTCAACCCCTCTCCACTGTCATGGTCAGTAATACATAAGTACATTCTACTCTTCTTTGGCAAATAAAGATGAGTTCAAACATAAGAACTCACTGGTTCCTCCTACAAACTTCTGACAAATCTTGGAAAGGGTTACCAACAGTTCACTGCCATTAGAAGGAGAAGAAATGGCAAAGGAATAAACCACCAAACAAACAGTGATGAAAGCTTGGAGAATGTAGATATGTATTTTAGATCACTTCATTTTAGGAAAGTTATTAACAGTAGAACAAAACCTCCACAAGTGGTAACAGCAATCTCATAATTTTAAAACATCTCATTTTATCAGGACAAAGTAAAAAAGGATCTTGTGTTATCTTCATACTTTGTTCAAAATGCCTGCTCCCAGTCAAAACTGGGATTTTGGGCTTCGTCTATGTTTATAATAATCTCAAACTCCCCTGTTGCCCTTTCCATACAGGCAAAACGTTTTGCTGTAAAGATAAAATTAAATCATTACTAAGGCTTAGAACATACACCAGACAAGTTAAAGTCCTTATTTTTACAATTCAGGGTAAATAAAATGAACTTTTAGGATAAAGAAAAGTTTTCTCTTCTTAAGTTGAAATATCCAAAAGCTGTTTTATTATTTATGTACTCAGGATTATTGTTTTGTAGGCAAGGTGATTGTCTTCGTGTTTATTATTCACTTGTGGTAAGTTCACCTTGGACTTTTTATTTTGGGTAAACATCGCATACATCATCATTAATCAGGCTTTGGGGTTCCTTTTCCCCATTATTCAATGTCTCTCTGCTCTTGGAAGTCAAACCAATTTAATATCAGACTGCAAAAACTCCATATACATACACACACAAACACACATGCATATAGATACACATACATATACATGTACCCTCTTAGTCTCCTCAGGGTGCTGTACCAGAGTATCATAGACTGGTGACTTTTAACCAACAGAAATGTATTTCTCACAGCTCTGGAAGCTGGGGCATCCAAGATCAAGACATCAGCAGATTCAGCGTCTGGCGAGGGCCTGCTCCCTCCTTCATGAACACCTGTCTTTTCATTTTGTCCTCACCTGGTGATAGGGATGACGAAGCTCTCTGGGGTCTCTTTTATAAGGACGGTAATCCTATTTATGAGAACTCTGTCTTCATGACCTAATTACCTACCAAAAACCCCACCGAGGGAGTTAGGAGTTCAACAAATGAATTTATATAGTGTGTAGAAATATGTATGTAATATATAGAAATATTATTTCTCTATAAAATATATAATAATATGTTATATTATATATAAAATGGAACTTCCAGGTCCTGAGCCCCTAGCTCTGATGTATAATCAGTACAGTATGGTTAAGTGGATATACTCAGTATGGGTAAGTGGTTAAGTGGATAATCAGTACAGTATGGTTAATTGGATATACTCTGAAACCATATTCCCAGCTCAGATTCTTGCTCCACAACAAATTTTTGCCTGTGCAACCCTCATCTATGTTATCTAACTCACCTGTGCCTCTGTTTCTTCAAAATAGCGATAGTAATAGCATTTAATTCAGAGGATAATTGGGAGGAATAAACAAGATAATATACACAAAGCTCTGAGAACAATGCCTGGTAATAGCAAGTGCTTTATGTCATTATATTATTATTATCTTAAAATTATTATTGATTCTATGAACCAGACTGATTCATATTATTGTGATTTTTTTTGAGTACGACAAGTCTTTGCATCCAGTTTCTGAAGCTGATAGATTTGCAATGACTATAAGTCAATGTAATAGGCCATGACTAAAGACAACCTTTGTAGTAATAGCTAAAAATAGTTACTATTTGATTGTGCATCTTCTTGTGCCAGGCACCTCTTAGGCATTTAAGGCAACCAATGCAGCTATTCATATTTTATACATGAAGTAAATGAACCTTAGATGAATTACCTTAACTAAGACTAAATAGCTAGTAAATGAGAAGAGTCTTGCAATCCTATGTTAAACTACATATATTTATATTAAGCATCACTGAAATAATTTTTAAACCTATACACATATATAATTTTAGGTAATTTGTTGCTCCTTTCATTCTCATATCCTCAGATCCCAGCCAGGCACCTTCAAAACCAATCCCTTATGGACTACTGAATTAAGGACAGCAAGTTACACCTCTGTTCCTGTCATCTGGGTGAAGCCAAAAGTAGTGACTTTTAGAGAGAGAGTGTGGGACCACTGAGGAAGAGGGAAAAAAGTGAATCTAAATTAATGCATATTTCAAAAGTTATGTGAATCTGCAAGTATCATCCTTTGAAGGAAGAAACTAACCTGACAAATGCTTCCTGGCTCCAGTTGAAAATAATTTGTTTTACTATGTAATTAATGAGTCTGCCTAGTTATAAAATAATCTTAAGTCTTATATCAAATGTTCCTTGGAATTTACATAAAAGCGGACTAAAGATTTCATTTGAAAAAAAAAAAAACAGTAAATTGGTTAAATGACTTATGGAATGGCCACTTAATAGACTGACAAAAATAAAGTAGCTTAGTGTTACTGTCATGAAAGATACACTAACTGAAAACAAACAAGTTGAAGCTAAAAGAGTTTGAATAATTTGATTTCGTGTGTATGTATATATATGTATATTTATATATGTATAGAACATCACCTCTCTCTACAAGGAATGTTAAGTGGTACCTTAACAGGCTATAGCTGAAGCCATTAAAATATTAAGGCCTGATTTTTTACTAAATCATTAAACAATAATGGTGCAGATAAGTGAAGAGCAAGCTCAAAAACAACATGAATAATTCAGTCCAGCAAATTATTCACTGAGCACTAAAGAACACAGCCTCTGTTCTAGATGGCTGGGATACACTGAACAAATCAGCCAAAGGTCCCTGACCCCTTGAAGCTCACCTAGTGCACCACCATGCTCAATCATTGTAGATGAGTGTAAAGAAAAATTACATGTGTATACTTCTGAGAATTTAGGGATGGTGATAAGCCAGGAATTTAATAATTATTCATTCTCCTCCACCTTTACTAGTCACATTTTTGGGATGAGGAAAAAGATTTAATCAATATGAACTCTGGTGACACCCTTGACTTCTGTTGCCAGCTGTGTTGTGAACCCTGGGTCTTGTCTCCTTTGATGTTGGAGGCAGTGTCTGCTGGGAATCTTTAGCTGGAGTGTGGCCAGCTGTTTTTCCTTTGTCTGGAGATATATCCAGAAGGAGTGGGAAGGGTGCAACTTTCTTCTTTCCTACAAAGTAAATATGCATTGGTGTAAAGTAGAGAGAATCAAACTGAAATTATACAACCTGAAAATTTATTGTAATAAATAAATTCCTGGCATCTGGAGTATTCTGTTTTAAACCAAATGAGTCATCCCTTTTTCCTTCCCCTTAAGGTTTCCAAATGTTGTGAAGAAGTAAGAGATTACGTTGAAGAACGATCTGGCGAGGATCCACTGGTAAAGGGCATCCCAGAGGACAAAAATCCCTTCAAGGAGCTCAAAGGAGGCTGTGTGATTTCATAATACAAACAAAAAGAAAAAAAATTAAACAAATTCTTGGAAATATCTCAAATGTTAATAACAATATGAATTTTTCTCATGCATACTATTACTACTAAGCATGTACGTGAATTTTTAAATTTATAGATGTAAACTTTTAATAAAAATTGGGGTGTGGTAACCCATCATTCTATGTTTTTCTTAACATAGCTGGCACAGGGTTTAACACATAATTGCCAATAAATATTGCTTAAAGTTCTTTAAAAAGAACTATGTTTTATAAATGATTCTATATTATTCTGAGTTGTCAGCATATATTTACTGTTTTATGTTTTTTCACTTCCCTTTCAACACTTACAATTTTCTACCCAGAAATTGTATGGTTAAGTTTCTATTTTGTTTCCCAAACTTTCTCTTGGTTAAGGAATTAGGAAGCTTATTTTTCTGATATGCAGTTCAACTGTCTTGTGACTTTTCCCCAGAATGCCAACTGGGTTGAGGGTTCAGTCTGTGGTCACGGAGCACGGTGAATTTAACCAGCAGCAGAATCACGGTTATAAGCATGCACTTAGGAGCCAGACAGTTCTGGCTCTGCCACTTTACTGCCCAACTCACTTTGGATAAGCTACTTAATTCTTTCTAAATTTGTTTCTCCTAGCATAGGATGAAGACAATAATGGTTATATCTTCTGTTTTGTGTAGGGGTTAAGTAATACACTAATGCAACTATAACACTCAGCATATTACCTGGCCCATGGTAAGATACAATAAGTGTTAACTAGTATTATTACTGAGAAAGGATCTAGACAAAATTTCCAAAATCCTTTAAGATACATGATGTTTTACCCTATCCTCATAAGACTCTCAACACCACAGTCTTTTCTTTAACAAGGTGAGCACACATGAGAGAGAAATCTCCATCCCCTACATCAGGTCCTTCTGGCATCCTATTGAGTTTACATGAGTCACATTTCACTACCATTGTGTTAATGACTAAGAGAAAACTTGCCTCTGCTTCTGTAACAAATGACAAGTTGTAATTACCTAAACCAGAAACCTCTTTTGTGGTCAGTGTTTTCTTGTTGCTGTCTCACATTTACAGTGCTATTTTGTATACTTCAGTGATCAGAATACTCAGAAATACTAATTGATTGTCACACTTTAAAAAAAACATTAAAATTATCTATTATTTGGTCTGGAAGGGAGTCTGAAAGTTGTACCAAAGTTTGGCTTCTAGCACAATGCCCTCCCACTCTGATCATCATAAATGCTCAACAAATATCTGTTGACTCTTGTCTAAACTCTTCATTTTGAAATGGAGAAAATAAAGTTTCAGAGAAGTCACCTGACAAATTTCTTCAGTCAAGACTCTGGGCTTCTGGCTGAAGAGTCAGCAACACACCCCACCACGTGTCTTCATCAAATATGCTCTGAGTATTAAGGGATTCTGGGATTAGTTACTGAATGTCTTATCTATTTTTCCTCAAGAAAAGCTTTTTATCCTCCTATTTAAGTTTACAAAACCCTCTCCATACAGTCCTCCCAACCTCCACCAAGCAATTCCTGTCTCTCTCTCGCACTCTATTTTCCTCCGTAGCACCGTCACCATCTGGCATACTACAATTTATTTGTTTATTTAATTGTGGTTTGCCTCTAGAAGTTTTCCACCTGCAAATTAGTATTTATTTAGTGAAGTGTTCAGTATGGCCCCTTTCCTCCGATTAAAATAAATACAAAGTAAATATTTGCTATGACATTTAGTTTACCATTGGAGACAGATTCTGAAGCCCAGCAATGTGAAGTTAAAACCCCGACTCTTCCACCTTGTCATTGAGAACTTTGGACAAATGACCAAATGACTTCAACTCTTTGAACATTTTTTTTTTTTTTTGTATAAAACTAGTGATTAGGATAGATTATCTGAATACTTGTAATCCCTTAGATCACAAATGGGTATATAAAAGGAAGCCTAATAAATGTCCTCTATTATTATACTTCCCGTGGACATTTTCCCACCATCTGGAATTTGGTCATACTGATCCCTCCACCTGAAATCTCCCTCCACTCCACCCCACCCCATTTTCAGCCTTTTGAAATCCTACTCTTCTATGAGACTTTCTCTCCCAATCTACCTCAAGAGTATTTTGTGTATCTCTTAAGTCATTTAACATTACTTTACTTTCTCTTATTATAATTTCTATGGTTGTCTTAATTTCAGTGCTGTATTGGAAATTTCCCAAGCCAGAAGATCTGTTCATCTTTGAAACTGTCATATCAACTAACAAATTGTCTGGACAATGAAATTGACTTTAAAAGCAGGCAAGAATAGTGCTTATAAAATGTTTATATTGGATAATTCAGAATTCTTATTGACTTAATTCATGATTAAATCACCAGTAGGGGACAATTCCTGTTGCTTAAAACACAGATTGTCAGCAGGTTTTGAGTAAGAGAGAAATCACAGGAAGGAAGTATAGAGAAAGATGGTCCAGGAAGAAGGAAATGAAATCATGACTGTCCCACAGGCTACAGAGCTATAACTGTCAGTGACTTTGGTTTGTTCAGAATTTGTTATTTCAGGACTGGGATAACTAGGTTAAAGAAAATGAAGTAAGACTACAAGGCAACAAAAACCACTCCCACACAACCTTAACATGTGACTCTTTAACAAAATTTTCTGGTGTCATTAATGAGAATGAGTTATTATAGATACTACAATATATCATTTGAGCTACTTGGACTTTAAACATATTTTGCACACATAGATGAGTGTAAGCTTTAGTAAGAAAAAGAAAAAAGAAAAGAAAACACCTCACTGTTGTTTTAATTTGTACTGGTTTTATTTTAGCCAAATTTTAAAACCAAGCTAATATCAATCTTCCTAAATTACTAAAATATGAGTTAACATGAGGAAAATAGTAAACTGAGTAATGAGAATGATCAATTATGTATGATGGGAGTTAAAGTCTTACAGAAAAAAATGGTGAGGGAAATCTGTTTTTTTATTTTTTATTTTATTTTATTCTTTTGAGACAAGAGTCTCACTCTCTCACGCAGGCTGGAGTGCAGCGGTACGATCTTGACTCACTTGCAACCTCTGCCTCCCTGGTTCAAGTAATTCAGTCCCACCACGCCCGGCTAACTCTTTTTGTATTTTTAGTAAAGAAGAGGTTTTGCCATGTTGGCCAGGCTGGTCTCAAACTCCTAACCTCAAGTGATCCTCCCGCCTCGACCTCCCAAAGTACTGATATTACAGGCCTGAGCCACCACTCCTCACCGGAGAAATCATTCTGATACCATGAATTATAAGTAGTTGCTAAGATACTCAGAGCATCAGACACAGTTCATCTTTTGACTTGGCATTCTCTTCATCTAGAAAAGGAATCTTAGGGTCAGGTGCAGTGGCTCATGCCTGTAATCTCAGCACTTTGGGAGGCCTAAATGGGAGGATCACCTGAGATCAGCAGTTCGAGACCAGCCTGGCCAACATGGTGAACCCTGTCTCTACCAAAACAAAAACAAACTTAAATATACAAAATTAGCTGGGCATGGTGGCGTGTGCCTCTAATTCCAGCTACTCAGGAGGCTGAGGCAGGAGAATCACTTGAACCCAGAAGGTGGAGGATGGAGGTTGCAGTGAGTGGAGATCACGCCATGTATATACTTCTGAGAATTTAGGGATGATGATAAGCCTGGAATTTAATAATTATTCTCTTCCACCTTTACGAGTCACATTTTTGGAATGAGGAAAAAGATTTAATCAGTATGAAATCTGATGACATTCTTGACTTCCGTTGCCAGTTGTGTTCTGATTCCTGGGTCTTGTCTCCTTTGATGTTGGAGGCAGTGTCTACGGGGAATCTTTAGCTGGAGCATGGCCAGCTGTTTTTCCTTTGTCTGGAGATATATCCAGAAGGAGTGGGAAGGGTGCAACTTTCTTCTTTCCTACAAAGTACGTATGCATTGGTGGAAAGCAGAGAGAATCAAACTGAAATTATACGACCTGAAAACTTATTGCAGTAAATAAATTCTTGGCATCTGGAGTATTCTGTTTTAAACCAAATGAGTCATCCGTTTTTCCTTCCCCTTAAGGTATCCAAATGTTGTGAAGAAGAGATTACGTTGAAGAATGATCTGGCAAGGATCCACTGGTAAAGGGCATCCCAGAGGACAAAAATCCCTTCAAAGAGCTCAAAGGAGGCTGTGTGATTTCAAAATACCAAAAAAAAAAGAAAAAAAATTAAACAAATTCTTGGAAATATCTCAAACGTTAACAACAATATGGATTTTTTTCACACATAATGCTACTACTATGCATGTACATGAATTTTTAAATTTATAGATGTAAACTTTTAATAAAAATTGGGGTGTGGTAACCCATCATTCTATGTTTTTCTTAACATAGCTGGCACAGGGTTTAACACATAATTGCCAAAAAAATATTGCTTAAAGTTCTTTAAAAAGAACTATGTTTTATAAATGATTCTATATTATTCTGAGTTGTCAGCATATATTTACTGTTTTATGTTTTTTCACTTCCCTTTCAATACTTATAACTTTCTACCCAGAAATTTTGTGGTTAAATTTCTGTTTTCTTTCCCAAACTTTCTCTTGCTTATGGAATTAGGAAGCTTATTTTTCTGATATGCAGTTCACCTATCTTGTGACTTTTCCCCAGAATGCCAACTGGGTTGAGGGTTCAGTCTGTGGTCACGGAGCACGGTGAATTTAACCAGCAGCAGAATCACGGTTATAAGCATGCACTTAGGAGCCAGACAGTTCTGGCTCTGCCACTTTACTGCCCAACTCACTTTGGATAAGCTACTTAATTCTTTCTAAATTTGTTTCTCCTAGCATAGGATGAAGACAATAATGGTTATATCTTCTGTTTTGTGTAGGGGTTAAGTAATACACTAATGCAACTATAACACTCAGCATATTACCTGGTCCATGGTAAGATACAATAAGTGTTAACTAGTATTATTACTGAGAAAGGATCTAGACAAAATTTCTAAAGTGCTTTAAGAAACATGCTATTTTACCCTATCATCATGAAGACTCAACACCACAGTCTTTTCTTTAACAAGGTGAGCACACATGAGAGAGAAATCTCCATCACCTACATCAGGTCCTTCTGGCATCCTGTTGAGTTTACATGAGTCACATTTCACTACCATTGTGTTAATGACTAAGAGAAAACTTGCCTCTGCTTCTGTAACAAATGACAAGTTGTAATTACCTAAATCAGTAACCACTTTTGTGGTCAGTGTTTTCTTGTTGCTGTCTCACATTTACAGTGCTATTTTGTATACTTCAGTGATCAGAATACTCAGAAATACTAATTGATTGTCACACTTTAAAAAAAAACATTAAAATTATCTATTATTTGGTCTGGAAGGGAGTCTGAAAGTTGTACCAAAGTTTGGCTTCTAGCACAATGCCCTCCCACTCTGATCATCATAAATGCTCAACAAATATCTGTTGACTCTTGTCTAAACTCTTCATTTTGAAATGGAGAAAATAAAGTTTCAGAGAAGTCACCTGACAAATTTCTTCGGTCAAGACTCTGGGCTTCTGGCTGAACAGTCAGCAACACACCCCACCACGTGTCTTCATCAAATGTGCTCTGAGTATTAAGGGATTCTGGGATTAGTTACTGAATGTCTTATCTATTTTTCCTCAAGAAAAGCTTTTTATCCTCCTATTTAAATTTACAAAACCCTCTCCATACAGTCCTCCCAACCTCCACCAAGCGCTTCCTGTCTCTCTCTCTCAGTCTATTTTCCCCCGTAGCACCATCACCACCTGGCATACTACAATTTATTTGTTTATTTAATTGTGGTTTGTCTCTAGAAGTTTTCCACCTGCAAGTTAGTATTTATTTAGTGAAGTGTTCAGTATATCTCCCTTTCTCTGATTAAAATAAATACAAAGTAAGTACATGCTATGGCATTCAGTAACCTGTAGAAGATGGTCCTAACCAACATCTCTAACTTTCAGTTTACCATTGGAGACAAAGTTTGCAGCCCAACAATTCAAAATTAAAACCCTGACTCTTCCACCTTGTCATTGAGAACTTGGACAAATGACGTGAACTTTTTGAATCTGTTTTTTTTTATATATAAAATTAGTGATTAGGCTAGATTATCTGAATACTTATAATCTCTTAGATCAGAAACGGGTACATAGAAAGAAGCCTAACAAATGTCCTCTATTATTATACTTCCCGTGGACATTTTCCCACCACCTGGAATTTGGTCATACTGATCCCTCCACCTGAGATCTCCCTCCACTCCACCCCATTTCAGCCTTTTGAAATCCTACTCTTCTTATGAGACTATCTCTCCCATTCTACCTCAAGAGTATTTTGTGTGTCTCTTAAGTCATTTAACGTTACTTTACTTTTTCTCATTATAATTTCTACGGTTGTTTTAATTTCAGTACTACATTGGAGATTTCCCAAGTCAGAAGCACTGTTCATCTTTGAAAAGTGTCATATCAACTAACAAATTGTCTGGACAATGTAATTGACTTTAAAAGCAGGCAAGAGTGGTGCTTATAAAAGTTTATATTGGATCAAACTTCCTAAATGCCTCAATAATGTGTTTACATGAGGAAAATAGTAAACTAAGTAATGAGAATGATCAGTTATATATGATGGGAGTTAAAGTAATATAGAAACAAAATTGGTAAGAGAAATCATTTATTTTTATTTGTATTTTATTTTATTTTATTTTTTTGAGATGGAGTCTTACTCTCTCGCCCAGGCTGGAGTGCAGTGGTACGATCTTGGCTCACTGCAATCTCTGCCTCCTGGGTTCAAGCAATTTCATGCCACCACACCTGGCTATTTTTTTTTTTTTTTTTTTCAGTAGAGAAGGGATTTCATCATTCTGGCCAGGCTGGTCTCGAACTCTTGACCTCATGTGAGCCTCCTGCCTCAGCCTCCCAAAGTGCTGGGATTACAGGTGAGAGCCACCACTCCCAGCCAGAGAAATCATTTTGATATCCTGAATTATAAGTAGTTGCTAAGATACTCAGAGCATCAGACACAGATCATCCTTTGACTTGGCATTCTCTTCATCTAGAAAAGGAATCTTAGGGCTGGGTGCAGTGGCTCACGCCTGTAATCCCAGCACTTTGGGAGTCCTAGGTGGGAGGATTACCTGAGATCAGGAGTTTGAGACCAGCCTGGCCAACATGGTGAAACCCCGTCTCTACTAAAAAAGAAAAGAAAAAAAGAAAAACAAAATTAGCTGGCTGTGGTGACACACGCCTGTAATCCCAGCTACTCGGGAGGCTGAGGCAGCAGAATCACTTGAACCCGGAAGGCGGAGGTTGCAGTGAGCAGAGATCGCGCCATTGCACTCCAGCCTGGGCAACAAGAGTTAAACTCCTTCCCCTGCCCAAGAAAAAAAAAAAAAAAAGAAAAGGAATCTTAGGTAGGTAGTTACAGGAAACAAATGAGCTCCTGAAAATTGCCTCATGATTGTTTTAACAGATTAAAACAAATATCAAATGAACCAAGAGCGTCTGAAGTGTACTTTCTTTAAAGAAACCATAATTTCAATGGTCAAAACAGTTACTATGCACTTTTTAAATTTATTTATTTATTTATTTATATTTATTTATTTTTTTGTAGAGACCGGGGTCTCGGTATGTTGCCTAGGCTGGTCTCAAACTCCTGAACCTTTGGTCTCAAGTGATCCTCCTGTATCGGCCTCTCAAAGTCACTCTATAAATTTTAGAAGAGCAGACTTTGAAAGGTAACCTAGTTTACTTACACGAAATAAAAAAGCAGAAATAATGTGTTTCTTGCAAAAATCACAAGATAAAATAAGACCAGAATCCTGATCTTTTTTGAGTTCAAGTTAGTATTAGCTCAATTCCAGTTTAACTGCCTTCAATGTTTTATTTTTCTTTATATAGATTTTTAACAACATAACAAATCACAAAAATTGTCAAAACCTTGTTTTTCCTATTTTTGCATACCAAAGTAAAAATTTCATGGTTGTTACTCTTTTATAATTTAAAAGTGAAAATGGTTACTTTTATTTTTATTAACTAATTTCTATAAAACATTTGTGAAACGACAGTGGGCTAATTAATCAAAGTTCATTGCTGGTTGCACCTGTCATTTTTACTAAAGAATGGTTTCTACTCATACTACTTGTAAAATAAATTTTACCGGGGTACTATGTAAAATATAAGTAAAAACCTAACAAAACATTTGGACACAGCTAAACAAATTTTAAAATTTATTTATTCAAAATTTTTGAATATTGCTGATAAACTATTTCTGCAAGTATACATGAGAAATTGCTTAACATGGTTCTTCTCTGGGAGGTAAATTCGGTGTCTAGGCATAGAAGACTACACATCCTTTTGTTTAAAAAAAAATATTCTCATCATTTTACTATTTAAAACCAAACAGGGCCAGGCGCGGTGGCTCACGCCTGTAATCCCAGCACTTTGGGAGGCCGAGGCGGGCGGATCACGAGGTCAGCAGATCGAGACCATCCTGGCTAACACAGCGAAACCCCGTCCCTACTAAAAATACAAAAAAATTAGCTGGGCGTGGTGGTGGGCGCCTGTAGTCCCAGCTACTTGGGAGGCTGAGGCAGGAGAATAACGTGAACCCAGGAGGCGTAGCTTGCAGAGAGCCGAGATCGCGCCACTGCACTCCAGCCTGGGTGACAGAGCAAGACCCCGTCTCAAACAAACAAACAAACAAACAGGAAACCAGCAACAATAAAACCTTTTTCAGAATCCTGTGTGATCATGCAATTTCAACATTTTGCAATTCACTTCAGTTTAATCAATTTACTTAAGATATTAGAATATGAATTATTTAATAACAATAAAAAAGACTAACAAGTATTTTGTTTCTAATACGTCTCATAATACGATGGGAAAAGTTAAAGAACCAATATGGGCTTATAAGTATTTATCCCTCTAAGCAACTAGATGATTTCATGGGAAAGAAACTTCAAAGCCAAAATAATTATATTTTTATGACTTAGAACAAACACACATTAACAAAAAATTAGTCAGGCGTGGTAGCGGGCGCCTGTAGTCCCAGCTCCTCCGGAGGCTCAGGCGGGAGAATGGCGTGAACCCGGGAGGCGGAGCTTGCAGTGAGCGGAGATCGTGCCAGTCACTCCAGCCTGGGCGACAGAGCGAGACTCCGTCTCAAAAAAAAAAAAACAAAAAAACAAAAAAACAAAAAAAAGAACAAAAACACAATAATTTATTTAACCAATTTATTTAACTTAGGTGCTGAACCTATTTAATTTAGGCCACATTCACGTTGATTACTTTCACTAATTTAAGGTATTTTTGACCAACCTTTTAAATTTAAGTAATAGAAAATTTTAAAAATGAATTAGTGCACAAGACAGATATGGACATTTGTCTAGTCTCCCTGCTTATTTACAAGTAAACTTCAGTAGATGCTCTAACTACTCTGAGCTTGGAAAACCCTGGTATTTCAAATATTGAAAGTGAAGCTCTTAAACATTTTCTTTGTGAAAATGATTTATCATATATAGACATACCAACACAATTAGAGACACAACATAGCTTAGCTGATTCACTACTTCCCTGCCTTACTATACATTTTACAAATTAGAAAACCAAAACTAAGAAAAATTAAATGACTTCTTCAGTGATGGCCTGTGGCAGAGCTGCAACTACACGCCAGGAGTATTCATTAAGTGGTTCATTGTTTTTTTCATTCTAATTTATTCATTGAGGTTGAGCGGAGCGTGGTAAGAAACTAGGAACGAACAAAAACTCCTGCTTCCTAAACAGGGAATGGTCATGGGTGTCTTGGGTCAGCTACTCTGAAATATTAAGTTAATATTTCACTTGCCTTTGACTCTGTGAGGCAGGAGGTTATCTCTGGAAAGAAAGAGAAATATCCAACTGCTAGGGAAGGTTTCTTACATTCATGTTTGATTTTTCTTCTACTCTTTTGACCACCATCAACAAGACTTTAGTTACAGTTAAAGGGAAAGTTTTATTGCATGTAAACTTTTTTCACATCGGACACTTTTCCTGGCTTTCCAGAGCAACAGCTAGATAAATAGTGCTTGCCAGAAAGTGGAGAAACTAATACTAAATGAATCCACTGCCTACATCCAGGAAGGTTCAGGAGCCAGGAATTCAAAATCCTTGGTGTCAAGTGTCACCCAAAACTTAGGGTTGGGGAGTGGAGAAAGGCTTTCGGTTAAGAACTCTAAGATTCCTGCTTCTGTCTTCTCTTATATCATCCTTTGATGCACCCCTCTACATAACATTCCCCCGGAAAAATAAAAAAAATACAAACTCTGCTGCTGTTGAGGATGCAGATGATTATTTAATAATAGAAAATGTTCTTGCAACTTGTAAACGATATTCACACCCTGTTGCCCCCTCCTCGCCCAAAATGTATAAACCCATATTAGGCCTCGAACAAGCCGGATGGACACAAATGAGCAGAACACTGGTGGGTATTTCTGGGATTAGGGCTAAGCTTCATTTTCTTTTCAGCCTTTTCTTAAGCGTCCGCATTCTCCACTATGCATTTATTACGTTGGTGCAAAACTAATTGCACCAACCTATATATGTAATTAGAGAAAAGTAATTACTTTTGCAACAACCTATGTATGTAATTAGGGAAAAGCTATATCTAGCATATTTTTAAAACTCTTTGAGAGGTGAAGGGTAGTTATTTCCTGCTGGGTAGTGTACTCCTTT
This sequence comes from Homo sapiens, assembly GCF_000001405.40. NCBI lineage: Eukaryota > Metazoa > Chordata > Mammalia > Primates > Hominidae > Homo > Homo sapiens. Next base: position 93,921,635 of record NC_000007.14, read on the forward strand.
TCCTAGCTTCACAAACAAAACCCGGATGTGACTTGGAAACGGAAAAAAAAAAAGGAGCGGGGGTGCGCGGAGAACACAAAGTAAAACTTCTGCTGTTCCCAGTCCTGCAGCCCCAGCCCAGCCGTCCCCCGCGGGCGTGGCAGGTCCTGAGTCAGGGCCTGTCCGTGGCCAGCATCCCTGCTGGGCGATTGAGCAGCGGGAAGCTGCTTGGACCCAGTCTCAAACTTAACCCTCATCTAGCACCCGGGCAGGCCTCCTGGGTTGCAGGGACTTGAGAAAAGGCAGAGTTCTCAGGTCCTAGGAAGCTGGGGCACGCTGGCGTGACAAGCGTCCCGGAGAAAGCCAAGCCCTCGGGGAGCTGGGGACCGCAGCAGGGCTGCAGTCACATCCTGCGCGGGTGGGCGGCGGGCCAGGCCTTCAGTTGTTTCGGGACGCGCCGAGCTTCGCCGCTCTTCCAGCGGCTCCGCTGCCAGAGCTAGCCCGAGCCCGGTTCTGGGGCGAAAATGCCTGCCCTTCACATCGAAGATTTGCCAGAGAAGGAAAAACTGAAAATGGAAGTTGAGCAGCTTCGCAAAGAAGTGAAGTTGCAGAGACAACAAGTAAGTTGGCTGTTCCGGAATATTTCCTTCTCTGAAATGAAGCAGGGTCCGATTTTTCCTGCTTAGTAACAGTAAAGCAAATAGTTTAGCTTATTTTTCCCCCTTTTTGTAGCTTCTCTTCTCACCACCCTTTGGCAGTGCCTGGGGACTGCCAGCTGATGTGGGGAAATCCTAGGAGGTAGAGGAGGGAGCAAGGATCTGATAAGTAATTTAAGGCCAAATGTCCTAACTTTTAAGATGCCTAGGAAGGGGAAAATAGACAAGAAATCTTGCTTTCCATTAGACAGCTGTTTTTCAAAACTCACTTGTAGGAAAAAAGCGGATAGCTACTTGGTTCTTTGATCTTTTACACTACTAGAAAGGATGATATTTGAAAGAAATTTTCTAAAACCGTATTTTAAAGTCTTACAAGTACATTATTTAATTTTGAATTTCACCAGTGGCCTTCAGTGATATGCAAAGAACAGTCCACCGAAATTTGGGAACAAAATATTAGAATTTCTATATTTATTTGTAAATCTCATCCCTTTATAATTTTCACTTTATGTTTTATTAGTATGCGATTAATACAGTAGTATCTGTACTTATTTATAAATAATTATACATACACTGTGGTGCATATGAAAAATTTTTTTAGTGATCACAATTTTAAAGTTTTAGAGACTATTGATAGAGATTACCATTTCATTGAGAACATATGACCCAGTATTCAATATTCTCCACTGAAACGTCTCGGGAGTTTTATAAGTTTTACTTCAATTTCTTACTGGTCATCAAGACCTTCCTTCAGACACTAATCCCTCTTCCTGTTTTAACTCAATCAGGCATCCTGTAGACTAGGAAAGGTCTTTGAATAGATATTGTTTAAAGATAATTAACCTTTCCTCTTCAGCAAGAAAATTTTGAACTGATCTTATTTATTATGGTTTAGCACTAGAAAAAATTAAGAAAAACAATGGAAATGAAGCGTTATAATATGCTCACTTGCCTTCCTGTTCTAGTTATAATAAATCTGTTAAGGGCAAGAGTCTTCACTGTTGAGTGATGATTAGAAGATGCAGGCATTTTTGTGTTTTACTTTTTACATATTTCTTTTCTCAAATTTAACCTTTCACATCCAAATCCCGGCTCTTCCTAGCTTTTATAATGAGCTGTCCCTTCTATCATGTTAAGGGTTTGTAGCTTTAAAAACACCAACGCGTTTAAAGGGGAAAAAAAGGAAGTTACACTACCCAATCAATAAGCACGCTTCTTGAAACCTTAAGGGACCCATTTTATGGATGGCGAAGTTCCCAGTACAGCAAGTGCTGGCCACTTAGATATGTTCACACAATAAACCTTAGGAGTTACATATTAAACAGAGTTTCATATGCTGAAGTACAGCATTGTCTATGCAAGGTTCTAATATCTTAATATTTGGTATCACTGTGTAGAACTTAGGAAAAAAGACAAGCGTCTTCTACTTACTCAGAGTTTTAAGTTAAGTGATGTGGATGCAACCGACTATGTAAAAATTGACTGTATCATTCATTAGCAGTTTCTCCCTGCTAGCCAGCCTGACCCTTTAGGACACGGCCTGTGGCATCAACTTCCCACCTCCAGAAACCTCAAGTGTATGCCAGAGGGAGAAAAAACTTTGGATATATGTAACCTTAGGAAATACAGAAAGAGGCATCTAAATCTCAACAATAATATTAAGACATTTGATTATACACTTGGAATTATACATTATTATTGCTAGGCAAGCATTGGAATGTTTAGAGATCATTCATCTCCCTCACTTTAAGGATTAAAAAAAACTTGAGTCCCACAAAGGCTAACTAGCTCCACATTTAAGACCACAGAGATAGATAGTGATAGGGCAGGTACTAAAACATTCTTCTTCTCATTCCCAGTCCATTATTCAGTCAATAAATAGTTAACATCTGGGCTACGTGTTCAGTCCTTAACTTAGGCCCAGACAAAACTTGCAAGTTGCATTCTGGCTGTAGTTAAATGTTTATCAAACATGTCCTCTTGATTATGGAAGGAAATGTATCAGAGGAGCAATTACTCACATTTGGAGGTTACAGACCTCTTCTGAAACCTAATGAAAAAACCTTGTAAGAAAAGATTCAATGTAGGGAGCATGTATCTTGCTGAGAAATTAACCTGGGACGACAGACCCTAAATTATGACACGTGCATTATCAACTCTAAAAATTCACTTAAAATGCATGCACTCTGAATGTCAACAAACGAGAGCAAATGTTACCTGAAAGAATTGTATTTGAAAGATTTTATTTTGCCAGATTTTAAGTCACACAACTACATCACCTAGTTTTCAATTTGAGGTCAGAGGCTTCCACACTGATTTGCAGAGGATAATCATTTGGGGTGTGGAAGTAAAATGTTAACATTGCTATTTCTGTTTAGTTTTAAACCTCACCCATTTATAATTTCCAGTTTATGTTTTATAATTTTGCATGATGTATTAACAAAGCAGTGTCTGTACTTATTTGTAGTTAAAAATTATATTCATTTTGGGATACACATGCAAACATGTTTTAGTAGTAACCGTTAAAACAGTTTGAGGTTACTAATTTAGATTACTAATTCAATGGGAACATTTGCCCAGTTTTCATAGGTCTCCATTTAAATTTGCTGGTGCGGCCTGGCGCGGTGTCCCACGCCTGTAATCCCAGCACTTTGGGAGGCCAAGGCGGGCGGATCACGAGGTCAGGAGATCAAGACCATGCTGGCTAACGTGGTGAAACCCCGTCTCTACTAAAAATACAAAAAATTAGCCAGGCGTGGTGGTGGGCGCCTGTAGTCCCAGCTACTTGGGAGGCTGAGGCAGGAGAATGGCTAGAATCCGGGAGGCGGAGCTTGCAGTGAGCCGAGATCCTGCCACTGCACTCCAGCCTGGGCAATAGAGCAAGACTCCATCTCAAAAAGAAATAAATAATTAAATTAAATTAAATTTGCTGGTACTTCTGTAATTTTTACTTTAAATTTCTTACTAGCAATACAGGCCTTCATTAAAACCCTAATTTCTTTTCTTTTGTTTTTATTCTTTTTTTAATTCATTCTTGCAACCTGTCTTTTAAGGATAGATAGACTTTTTGAAGAAACTCTTCTTTTAAGAATAGACTTTTTGAAGACACTATTCAATTTTTTCTCCATCTCAGAAAAAAATTTATTCTCAGATAAGCCTAATAAGTCTCAGATAAGTCTTTTATTATGATCATTGCCCTCATGCAGCAGGAAGAAATTCTGAGGAGCAACACAGAGTGCGATATTTGGACAATTCCAATCTTTCCAGAATCAGGCTTTTTCCAAAGCTTCTATCATTTCGTGAAATTTCAGAACATGGCACACACCCATAAGTGAGAATCGTGGCATTACACACCCCAAAACATTTGGGGATTATCTACTACTGCACCTGCTCACTAGCATGGAAAATTAAAATAAGAGTATATTTCAGTTCCTAAAATATTGTAGACATGGCATAATTGTATTTTAGCAGAGGAAGGAAATCATATGAGACACAATGGAAAAAAACTGCTGGAGATGATTTATTTAATGCAGTGACTTTCAAACATTTTTTAATTTGACCAACGACCAACAGTAAGAAATATATTTTACATAGGTTGCATCATAGGTATAGTAATAGAATAAAAATATTAGAGTGCAGAGCCCAGATTTTATATATGTATTATATATATAATATATACACACACACATGCACATATATATGTAAATGTAAAAAAATGTTTAAAAACTTATTGTATTCAATTATACTTATTTCATTAAGGCGTAGGGACAAAGTTTAAACAACCCTAACCTAATGTATTCTCTTTTTTTTCTATACTTAAGGTGTCTAAATGTTCTGAAGAAATAAAGAACTATATTGAAGAACGTTCTGGAGAGGATCCTCTAGTAAAGGGAATTCCAGAAGACAAGAACCCCTTTAAAGAAAAAGGCAGCTGTGTTATTTCATAAATAACTTGGGAGAAACTGCATCCTAAGTGGAAGAACTAGTTTGTTTTAGTTTTCCCAGATAAAACCAACATGCTTTTTAAGGAAGGAAGAATGAAATTAAAAGGAGACTTTCTTAAGCACCATATAGATAGGGTTATGTATAAAAGCATATGTGCTACTCATCTTTGCTCACTATGCAGTCTTTTTTAAGAGAGCAGAGAGTATCAGATGTACAATTATGGAAATAAGAACATTACTTGAGCATGACACTTCTTTCAGTATATTGCTTGATGCTTCAAATAAAGTTTTGTCTTGGGAAGATGAGTGTTGGTGATTTAAGAAGACACTTTTCATGCATTAACTTTTATATTTCTCCCCGTAATCTTTTGGGTGTGGAGTATGATTGGGTTTGGAATATGATTCAGAAGGTTAGGTGGTTCGACAGATCACATCTCCAAACCCTGCGTCAATGGTTTAGAGTGCTGAGTTCTGACCTCTGGAACGTGTTTGATCTAACCTTAACTATTAAGAAACTGAGCAGGTAGAATTCCTATAACATTGACAGAAGTCAGATTATCTGAGTCAGGAACAAGGCCAAGCCACATCTATGTTAGTACTTCCCTAGTTTATCATCATTTAGATCTTCTTAATAGTGTTCCTGTAGTAGTAGCCTTGAAGAAAATACTGAGTTGGGGTTCAGGAAGAGTGCCCTGCCTCTCTGCCGTGTAGTGGCCAGGCCAGCCCTGGCTTTGAGAGCCAGTACTTATTCCTGCACAGAGCTACATCTCCCATGTGCTCTCCAGGTCTTGGGCATGGCACTACTCCAGTTCTGTGGCATTGGTGCAGACACTTGGACCTCTGCACTCATGCTTGCCAGCATTTTCCAGCAGGCCTGGGCCAAACATGCCTTTTTTTCTTCTCCTCCAAAGGAACCAGTGAATCTTTGCCCACTTTAAAGATTAGTTGGTCTTTTTCTTACTGATTTGTAGGAATTCTTCATATATTCTGGCCATTTATTCGTGTTTGGTGATATGTGTTGCGAATACCTTCTCCCAGTCTGTGGCTTACCTTTTCACAGTGACCTTCCCTTCAGTGGTTTTATCCTGCAGGGCAACACGTCAGAGTATAACTCCTGCTCAAGTTCATAACAAAGGTACCTGAAGCCCAAACCTCACAAAAAGGGACCTTTCTTTCTCACCTTGAGCATTCTCCCGCTTCTTCTCCGTCTTTTGGGTCAAAATTGCTCCAAGTTTGAGCCAAAAGAAAAACGTGGAAAAACCCTTGCTGGTTAGCTCTAGCTCAAATGGACTTAGTCATTAACTTGACCTGCAATTTTCAATGTGGCACCAGAAGCCAATGTTTCTCCTTGACTAGCTCTTTTCTCCCACTTACACATGTAGGTATACCTTACTATCAAGCGAGAGAGGCGCCTGTAACCTGTAGCAGCTTTCTAAAGTATATCAGCATCCTCGTTCTGAAATTCCTTTCCTTTCCCTCTCTGGGAAAGAACAGAATACCCCAGGCTTTTGAAAAATAGTTTACACAGACCAAAAGCAGAAACTATTTCCTTCAGTTTCCTGACACTGTCCAAGTGATGACATCAATTGGCATTACTGAGAGCCCAGGGATAATTTTAGCCCAAAACTACTACTCCTAGGAAGGAGTAGTATGATCTACTACTCTTAGGAAGGATTTAGGAATAGTAAAGGTGTATTTCTTCCAAACAGCATAGAACTATTAGTACTATTAGTCATTTAACATTTAACATGGCATGGGATTTTAGAGCTTTGGTGCCTGTAAAGTTTTACTTCTATTAGCTGTTTCATTTCTTTGCACTTATAAAGTTTTCTTCTGTTGCCTATGAAAGCAAACATTTATTCCGGTTACTGGCAAGGCAGTTTAAATCACCTGCTTCTTTCATGAAAGGCCAAGACAATACATTTATTCCCTAACTTGTTGGGAGTTGCGATTACAAGTCTATATCCTGATTTCTATTAGCACATTCAGCTATCCATTTGTGTACACTCCCAAGTCCTAGCTTTTGCTCTTCATGTCTCTTTCAACCATATGATCAATCAGTTGGACGACTTCTGGTTTTTCCTGAATAAATATCTAATCTTATAGGTGCTTCTATTAAATATAATTCTGTTTCTTTTTCTTACCATTTATCATTATAACCCAGCCAACATGTAGAAGTGCAATAAAAATATTTTAATTTTCAACTGTTCAACTGCTAAAATTATTAGCTTGTAATTAAAAAAGAAAAAATACATCCACTATATATTTAGATATATTGTAAATGTAACCTTTGGTGACTGATAATTTGTTAAGTAGAATTTAAATTATGTATCCAATTTATTCAAAGTGTATAGTTGTGTAATTATTTACTATTTGATTAAAAATAGTTATCATGCATTGTGTAGTGAGACTTAGGTTCTATAAACTCATATAGAATTAGAAAAATCAGGCCGGGCAGGGTGGCTCACGCCTATAATCCCAGCACTTTGGGAAGCTGAGGCAGGCAGATCACGAGGTCAGGAATTTGAGACCACCCTGACCAACATGATGAAACCCCGTCTCTCCTTAAAAATACACAAAAAATTAGCCAGGTGTGGTGGCGCACACATGTAATCCCAGCTACTCAGGAGGCTGAGGCAGGAGAATCACTTGAACCCTGGAGGCGGAGGTTGCAGTTAGCAGAGATCACGCCACTGCACTCCAGCCTGGGTGACAGAGTGAAACTCCATCTCAAAAAAAAAAAAAAAAGAAGAAAGAAAAATTGGGCTTTTCTATTTCTAGGCAGAAGCTACCTTAAAGCTCACCCACACTTGGTATTGTGAGACCAAAATTTTTTGTATGCTAGATGCAAATTAATATCTCACCATTGTCTAAATTTGCATTTCTTTGATTTCCAATGATTTTTAGTCAGTTTTCGTGTGTGTCAATTTTCTCTTTTGAAGATGCCTGTTCTCCTCCTTTGCTGGCAACCACTAATTTGTTCTCCATCTCTATAATTAGGTTACGACTGCTGCATAAATTAAATCATACAGTAGCTATCCTTTTGAGGTTGGCTATTATCATTCAGTATAATTTCTTTGAGGTTCATCCAAGTTGGTTGTGTGTATCAATAGTTTATTCCTTTTTATTGCTGAGTAGTATTTTATGCTACAGAGGTGCCACAGTTTACCAATTTATCCATCAAAGAATGTCTGGGTTGTTTTCAGTTCTCTGCTAATGCAAGTAGAGGTGCTATGAACATTCATGTACAGATTTTTGTATGAAGATAAGTCTTTGCTCATCCGGAATAAATTTTTAGGAATACATTTGCTAGGTTCCATGGTAAATTTATATTTACTTTTTAAAAAAACTACCAACCTGTTTTCCACAGTGATTGTACCATTTTACATTCCCATAAGCAATGTATGAGCAACTCAGTTTCTCTACATCTTCATCAATATTTGGTGTTATCACTATTTTTCATTTTAGCTATTGTGGATAGTAATATCTCATTATGGTTTTAATTTTATCTCTCTGATAGCTAATGATTTTGAACATTTTCCGTGTATTTGCTATGTGTATACCCTCTTTGATGAAATGTCTATTCTTGTGTTTTGCTTATTTCTAATTTGTTTATTTAATGTTGAGTTTTGAGGGTTCTTTATATATTTGGGATATAAGACCTTATTAGATATGTGATTTGTAAATATTTTCTTCTATTCTATAATTTGTTTTTTAAACCTTTTAATGCTTTTTTTAATCTTACAGAGTAGATGTTTTCAATTTGATGAGGTCCAGTTTATCCATTTTTTGTCTTATAGATCAAGATTTGGGTGTCAAGTCTAAAAAATATTTATCTATTCCTCATCCCAAAGACTTTCACCTGTGTTTCTTCTAAAAATTTTATTGTTTTATGTTTTATATTTAGGTCTCTAATCCATTTTAGTTAATTTTTGTATGCGGTGTGAAGTTTAAATATAGGCCTGCTCGCCCCTTCCTTCCTTCCTTCCTTCCTTCCTTCCTTCCTTCCTTCCTTTCTTTCTTCTTTCTTTCTTTCTTTCTTTCTTTCTTTCTTTCTTTGCCAGTAGTCTAATTGCTCTAGGATCACTTATTGAAAAGGTTATTCCTTCTCCATTTGATTGCTTTTGCTACTTTGCCAAAAATTAACTGGGCATATTTGTGTGAATCTATTTCTAGGTGTCCTTTTCTATTTTATTCATTTATGTATTTATTCCTTTACCAGCTCCACACCGTCTTGATTTCTACCACGATATAATAGGTAGTAACATCAGGAAGAGAGATTCTTCATACTTTATTCATCTTTTTCAAAATTGTTTTGACTATTATGTGGGCTTTCTCTTTTCATGTAGAATTTTACAATATTTATGTCTACCAAGTAAATACATGGTCTCAGCAGTAGAGTGGAGATGACAGATAATAGAATCAGTAGGCCTGAACACAAATGTATAGGATTTTCTCAATCTGAACAGCAGAGAGCAGATAGGTTTTTAAAAATGAACAGATCCACAGTAATACGTAGAGTAGTAACAAGAGATCTAGCACTGGCATAATCAGAGTCCAGGAAGAAAAGGAGAAGAGTGTGGGAATGAAAAAGTAGTAAAAGAAAAGTAGTGGATAAAAATGTACAGAATTTCATAAAAGATGTAAATCTACAAATTCAAGAAGCTTAGCAAACTATAAACATAATAAACCTGAAATAATTCACATTTAGACACATCATAATTAAACATTTTAATACTAATGACCAAGGAAAAACTTATAAAAGGCCAGGGATAAATGATCCATTATGCATAAAGGAAGATGAATTTGAATTAAGTGGATTCCTCATCAGAAACTCTAGAGGCCAGAGGAAGAGGCATGACATTTTTAAATGCTGAAAGAGAAGAGCTGTAAACATTAAATCCTTTATCAGTGAAAGGATTCTTCAGGAATTAGGAGGAAATAGACATTCTCAAATGAAGGAAAATTAACAGAATTTGTTGCTAGCAGAACTTCTCTTGAAGAACGGCTAAAGGAAACTTTCAAAACAAAAATAAAATGCCAACAACAAAATGCATATATTCTCAGGAAAAAGGAAAAATAAAAGATGAAGGATAAAACATTGAAGCAGACATTATAGACTATCCTTGAACTTGTCAGTTTATTTAATCATACTTCATGGCTGAAGCAAAAGATTTAATACCATCTGATACAGTGTTCAATATAAATAGACATAAAACAACTATATTTAAAAAGTGGAGCTAGTAAAAGGACTTAAACAGAACAACTCTAGTTCTAAAAAAACAGTATTAGAAAAAAAGAACTGTAGGTAATAAATCTATGTTCCTGCCTAGATAGCCTGCCCTGGGAAAGAGAGCTAGGTTGTTTAAGGTAGAACATGCTAAGTACATAGCAAGCTGATTCAAGTCATGGGAGGTCCAATCAAGTAGTGCAAAGATGTGATTAATCAGGATAACTACTTGGCAGAAGAGTGATTGGTCCTGGTTCATATGCTCTGGAACCAATATAATAATAACAATTTTAACCTGTACCAACCAAGTGGGTGAATTTTGCTTTCTTAATAAAAATCATATCACAACTTGAAATTATTATGAACATGATTGTAAACTCTAATTATATGTCAAATAGCTTTTTACATATTTATTCCATGACGTAATCTCTCAGTTTAGCATCAGAAACTATCTGATAGAAGCTACATGAATTACAGAAGAGAGCGTAAAAGAAATCAATCAGACCCTGCAAGGAGTTTTAAGTGATAGTCAACCAGCTCTAAAGAATTGCTTATGGGTACCAAATAATATTTTCTAAGAAGTGATCAATTTGATCCACTGTAAAAACTCGTATGTTTTCTTTAATTGTTCTTTAATAACGTTAGCCATAGGCTTTAGCTTTATCTCACTCTTGTCTCATCACCAGTCTGAGACAGATGATTTTAATAATCTACTTCACAGAGCTGGTTTGGGAGTTAATGGGCTTGATTCTCTAGGCTGTGAACAGAGATCTTTAAATCCATAAAAAATACTCATTTCTTGCCACTCATCACTGTCGGTAAGTGGCTTCACATCCTTTTGGGAAGTAATCAAAGTAAATATCAACATATAAAAATATATCTATTCTAAAGAATTTGTATATTCACTTACACTTTCACAGCTCTGTTTAATATAGTACAGGAAAGAAAGAAAAGGGAGTGGTCCTGCCTTATTAAGTTTTTTGAAATGGTATTGAAACCTATACAGGTCTTAATCTAAGAGAGAAAAATGAAGAGAGAAGAGAAATATTTAAACTTATATTCAATATTTGAAAACTTAACCTGAAAACTCTGATATTGATATAGTTCACTGATTACTTGAGAACAGTTCAAAGTCCATTGTCGTTAATTGTTCCTTCCTTATAATTAAAATTATGTGTCAATGAGGAACATTACAACATGGATGTGTATGCTCTTTGTCAATATCCAGCCTTGTCTTTTCTCTTTTTTGTTTCCACAAATCTTTGAAAGACTGTATGCAATTGAGTTTCCAACTGATTTTTGCTTACATATAATATTTGAATGTAAAAGCAGATATGAGGTAGAATAAATTAATATTTATTACTATTTAGATTTTTCAATTTGGGGTGGGAAGTAATTTAGACATTTAAAAACCATTCATTTCAATTTTCCCAAACACATGGGTCAAAGATCTGTAAATGTTACCCTTTATAGACAAGTTCAGCCAATCTTTTTTTGTATTGGCAGTTGAAACAAATGGAATTGGCAATTGAAACAAATGGTAGCAACATTTATTAAGTTCAATTAATTAAACCAATCTTATGTACAACGTGTAAGGGGATTAACTATTTGCAAAAAGGAGTAATAAGTGAATGATTACAGTAAGACTAGGACATTTCTAACTTCTGGTGACATTTCATAGGAGGATAGACAGTATCTTAAATGAAGCAGAAGAATTTGTGAAGTATTAAACTAAGAAGAAAAAAATTAACTTATTGGGTGCAGCTTGGCAGCCCAAGAAGACATTTATCAAGTTTATATAGGAACAGGAGGAACTTGCTAATTAATTGAGTACACTGTCTTTGGTAAAAAAGCTTTGGAATATCTTTTCAGCCACTGTGAGTAATGAATTACCCCAAATTCAATGACCGAAAACAATGCATTTATTGCTTGTGAGTCTACCAGCCGGCTTATCTGGGCCTGACTCTGTTGAGTTTGGCTGGTTTCACTCAGTTGTGGTCAGCTGGTAGATCAGCTTGGAGCTGACGGGTAAGTTGGGTGTTGGCAAGAAGATGTTTGGGGCAAAGGGGGTGATGGGGTCAGGTGTCTTTCATCCTTCAACAAGATTCCTTGGGCTTTTTCTCATGGCATGGCAGGCTTCTAAGCAAAAGAGATTAGAAGCGTGAAATGTGTCTGAAGGCCTACGGAAAGAACTGGCACACCATTACTTTCACTGCATTCAATTGCCCACATCAAGACTCAAATCCAACCCATATTCAAGGGGAAGGAAAATACATGACCCTTCTTGAGTGGGGAAGCTGCAAATTCACATGGCAAGAAGCATGAATACAAGGAAGGGTGGAAAGTTCAGGTCATTTGCAATCAATCCACCTCATTAGATAAGGAATTTTGTCTCAAACATGGGCTGTAGAAGCCAATTAGAATGACCTAGGAATATGTGGGAGTGGGGTTGAAGGATATTCCATTAGGATAAACTAGAAGGTTCTGATGCTAAACACAAAAAGTGGGGATGGTCAGTGTACAGATGTATAATAATTCAAAAAGATTGGTAGGGGGAGGATTTGAAATCTATTATGAGAGAAGCATCAAAATGAATTAGTTTCAGGAACTTGACAAACCCTCCCAGCTAATGTAGCAAAGCCTAATTTAACCTAGGGGAAAATAAGCAGCCTCCTAAAAATTAATTTTACTAATAGACATATAAATTCCTGGAAAGCAGGACTGCAGGATCTGATCATATCCCTCTTGTGTCTTTTGTTATTGAGTAGAAATAATTCTTGCAGCTTGATCACCTCTTCATGCTGAAAGATTCATATTTAATAGAGCCAGACTCAGTGGAGTACCAAGTTTTCATTTGTTCCCAATACTAGTCAGTCACTTTGGTGAGGGTAAATACTACAATAGGCAAATTTTGCTAGTATTTCAAAAACTGATATATTGTGCCCCTCTGCCTTCCACCCACCCCTAACTCAACCTTTGGAACAGTCTTCTTTGCTTTCTAGTCTTTTCCTAATATTCGGTCTCAGGTAGCAGAGATGAGAAAGATGCCCAGAGAATTGGGGTTTGCTATTTAATCTACGCTTCATTCCCCAAATTTGCTTCTGTTTCAGTTCTGTCTGAACGTGGACTTTAGAGAGACTCCTATTGATATTTTTTTGGATGCATGCCTTTATTGGAAGATCCTACTCCCCTTGAAACAATACATTTCTCTTAATAAGACTGAACTCTTTCTCTGTAATCCTGATCAATATTTCTCAGGCTTCTGCTTCCTTTTACTGTGCTGAGAGTTTTTCACATAATTCCTCATATTTTGCTATAGTGAAAGGTACAGTTTATCTAAAAAAGGAGTTTGCTAATACTTTTTGATTAATAAGTAACATAGTCACAAGTTTGAGGACACAAATCATGAGCTTAAAGCATTACATAGCCTTGGTGCATCCATTGACTTGGTAGCTGACCCTGGAAATATGGGATTCTTTTCACCCTTTTAGAAAGACATTTTCCAAAACATACCTCTCTTTGAAGAATTTAGTTGAGTGTCTGGAATCTAAAATTTATAACATTATCATGCATTTGTATAAACTAAAAAATAGATAAAAGGTTATGCATTTGTCATCTACTGGAAGGGAGGTAAGGTAATATTATAAATGCATTTTGCTGAAGTTATAAATCATAATGGTGTTACTAGCTCAGGGGCTGCCAAACTTTTTCTGTAAAGAGCCAGATAGCAAACATTTTAGCCTTTGCAGGACTACCATCTCTGTGACAACTACTTTAATATAAAAGCAGCCACAGGCAATGAAATACATAAACCAATGGGTGTGGTTGTGTTCCAAAAAAACCATTTTTTATAAAAACAAGCAGCAGGCTGAATTTGGCCCACAGCCATAGTCTGCTGACTCCTTCGCTAGATCAGTGTTTTTCAAACTACATATTAGAACCCATTATTAGTGGTCAGTTTTGTGAAATGTAACAAATATTTTGAGTAAGATAAAATCAAATGAAGTAAAATATCAGCATATATTCCATCGAATAAAAGGACATATCATATGAAATATATGTATGTGTTTGAGTCAATATTCAATTTTTTTTTGTAGGCTCCAGTCATGGAAGTTTGAAGGCTGCTGGTCAAGAGCAATGAAACTGAGTCCAGCTTTGGATAGTGTGTAGTAATGAATTAACCTTGCCCAAAGAGAGATCCGGCCTTTGCCCTTGGCCACTGGGGAGTAACCTCTAAGCCCTTTGAAAGTTCTGCGTGACAAGAATGCCTTTGTTTACCTGGGGCTTTGGGCCATGCAGAAAGTCTATCATGCAGTTCCAGTTTGATTTCTAGGGCCATGTAGTATCAGCTTCATCTGAGAGACTGGAGGCTGAGACCAGTTGACCAGGGAGCCCCAGTAAAGACTCTGGATACCAAGGCTCAGGTGAGCTTCCTTGGTTGGCCATAGTTCATGTACATTGTCACACAGTGTTTTCAAAAGTGTAGTGCTTTCCGTGACTCCACTGAAAGAGGATAACTGGAACCTCCATGTTCAGAACTTTCCTGGACTCCACTCCATGCATCTCTTCCCTTGGCTGATTTTGATCTGTATTGTTTGGCTTTAACGAACTACCACTGTGATTATAAAAGCCTTCAGTGAGTTATGTGAGTCCTAGTGAATTAGTGACTCTAAGGATGGTCTTGGGGAATGCTGAACCTGAATGGGTATCAAAAGTGAAGTCAGTCTCATGGACTGTGTTCTGTTTACCTTCTAAGATAGGTGAGGAAACCATAAGTCAGATGCTTTCATAAAGGTTGTGGAGCAAATTAGCAGCAAACCCACAATGAGAATATTAGGTTTGTAGTTTCCATATTTAGAGGCTTCTTTCTTCTCCTGTGCATCTTAATGCTGCTTGTCAACATTTGTGGAGTGTATCTGACTTTGTGTTGAAGGCTTTGTACACATTATCTCATTTTATCCTCACAAAGACCTTATAAAATATGTACTAGGATTAGTGACAAAACTGAGGCTTGAAGAGCTTAGGTAATTTTCCCTGGGTCATACAGGTTTTCAATGATGGAATACGGATTCAAACCCAGGGAATCTGATTCAACTTGAGTTACTTTTTTCACTGCTTGATATTGTTTCTTTTGGGTGTTGTACATTTCCTTCTTTAAAGAAGCTGAATTTCTTTCATTTGAAACCACCAGGTTACCTGATATATGTGTAAATAACAAATAATTGGCCGGGCACGGTGGCTCACGCCTGTAATCCCAGCACTTTGGGAGGACGAGACGGGCGGATCACGAGGTCAGGAGATTGAGACCATCCTGGCTAACACGGTGAAACCCAGTCTCTACTAAAAATACAAAAAATTAGCCGGGCGAGGTGGCGGGCGCCTGTAGTCCCAGCTACTCGGGAGGCTGAGGCAGGAGAATGGCGTGAACCCCAGGGGGTGGAGCCTGCAGTGAGCCAAGATCGCGCCACTGCACTCCAGCCTGGGTGACAGAGCGAGACTCGGTCTCAAAAAAAAAAAAAAAAAAAAAAAAGAAACAACAACAACAAAAAAACAAACAAAAAACAAATAATTGGATCACATATATAATATATATCTTTTGTATTCCCCTCAGTACACAACATAATTAACACTTAATGAAGAGAGGTTGAAACAATGAATAAGATATAGGGTAAAGGGTTAAAGTCCCACATACCTTCTTGGTCTTCCACATTGCTGTTGACACCTTGGTTTTCTTCCTCTCCATCTTTGCCTCCATTATCCTCCTCTTCTTCTTTCTCTTCTTTCTTCTCTATTCTCTCTCCTCCTTTCTCTCACTTCTTCTCATTCTTATCCTTTATATCCATCATCATCATGATTATTATTGCCAAAAACTGATTAGGCTAATTTCAACCTCCTATATTTCCTAAAAGCTAAGTTAAAACAAAATTTCCGCTGAATGAGGTATTTGGTTGGGCTTTGCTTAAACAGATATTTGCTATAATGCTGTCTCTGAGTGTTTTACTGCTATTTACAATACAATGCAACCCAACATTTTCTCTTTTCTTTCCTTTACATATTAGAATAAGGATACCTAGATGATGTCTGGAATTAGAAAGAAATGGAAAAATAGGCAGAGTATAATTTCTATTAGTATTATTTATAATGGACTTAAACCTGAAGTCAAAGAACTGTTCTGACTACATAATTTACAGTTCAGGAAAAAGTTTTTACAGGAAAACTCCCTTTTGATGAAACAGTTTTCTTATTTTTTCAATCTTGATTACAGAATACAGATAAGGACATTCACCCATTTGGTCACCAGTGGGAAGAAAAACAATGCTTTCCTGCTCCTCTTTTGTTTAATATTCTAGTAAAAGCTGGATACTTGGGAATGCATAAACCAAGTAATAGGTAAGCATAACACTGATAGTGACTTCTATTTGTATGGTCTTTTGGATGTTTTCTATGCACAGTCACATTATTTCATTTGAACCTGAGAAGTAGGAAGAAGTACATATTATACCCCATGACTTATTTTCATCCTGGAAATGAGCAAACTAAGCCCCAGGGTTAAGGGACTTGCCATGGGCATGCATCTAACCAGGACTTCTAACTCCAAATACAGCGCTCTTCTCACCACACCCTGTTTTTACTCTGTTTAAATAAATATTCTCAGTTGGCTTGCTATTTTCTCAAATACACATTTTCCCTGAACCAAGAGTTCTTAACCTGTAATATACATGGATCTACATGAATGAGTTTCAGGAGTCAGATAACCTTCTAAAATAGAATTTTAAATGTTGTGTGTATGTGCTGCTCTCTCCTGTGCTCCTCCTTGTGACAATCTACTTTTTTCATCTCAGAAGTGTCAACAAGACAAACATGGTTAGGATCTCTTACCTTAGCAGGGAAAGTGCTTATATCCTTTTCCCATATGAAAGGGATAACTTTGGGACTTTAGTTTAGACCTTGTTGCTGTTTCACTGTGTTGGAGACTTGCAGAAGATTAGGAATACCCTCCACTGTGCCTTGTCTAGCTTCCACTCCACAGTCATCAAACTGACTCATCTTCTCAATCATTTCCTCCCATTAGCTTTCCCTGTCATCACAATCACTCAAAGAAGCTGCTCCTTCTGCCACCAAAAAAAATGTTAATGGATAGAAGGGCTCCCCACTGCCATATTCTGATCACAACTTGTTGCCTTTACTTATTGACACTTGAACTCTATGCCTTCCTCTCTCTTTGGTTGCAGTCACCTGCTCAACTGACTTTTTCCTTAGTGACATCAACGTATGGCTCAGAGACCTCAACTCCACTCTTCCTCCTTGTCTCCTGTCAACTTCAAGTTCTAAGAGTATGACTCTTCTAACACTAAACCTTAGAATGTATCAATCTCCCTAACTTGAGTGATTACAATACTAATATTATACTTTCTGCTGTTCTATTATACTGTGCTACTTTAAAGTATTTTAGTATAGTTGGTAATATCTACCAATTTTGGATATTAATGATCTCTATTTTGCAGCTAGAGAGTATTAAAATTTTGAAGAAAATGACTACACTTTTTAATGCAACACTAACCTGTGGTGTTAGAAGTAAAGCTCGAGTCTGCTCTTTGGAGTGTAGTATGAAAGAGAACATGAAAGGGGCTTCTGGGTTGCTGGTCATATTTTGGTATTGAATGGCAGCCCTCGTGACAGAGTTGTATTCACTTTGTGAAAATTTCTTGCACTGTTTACGTTTAGTTTATGTGCACTTCCACTATCACTTTGAAAGTGTTCTGACTTCATTTCTTCCCTGTTAAATATCTAAAAGTATTTCTATTTAAAATCTGATTTCCCTGGTTAATAGCGAGCCAAGCAACTTTTCTTATGATTTACTCATTTGTAGTTCCCCAAAGCTAGTTTGGCCCACACTTCCTGAGGTTCATGATAGGATTTTCTTTAGAATTGTTGGGGGAGGGAATCCGGAGAATAGGGGACCGTGTGGCAGGGGGATTCCTGAGTACAAGCAAGTAATGAAGGGTGAGAGGTCGTCGCCTTGTCTAACCCCCATACCGTCTCTGTAGGCTGATTAATGATGCGCTTCACTCTCATTTCTTCTTATTCAAAGTCTGATAAATTGTCAGGGGCTTGACCCCTGGTGCTCTTAAATGATTTATTTAAACCAGGACTTATTTTTATCAATCATCTGAGCCAGAGGTCCAAGGCACCTCAGGTCTGTACCCTGACCCTCTTTCAGGGGAAGCAGCACCTTGGGCAGAATGTAGAATATGAAGACAACCACCTTTTGCTCTGCGATAAATCGTTAACTGAAATATCAAATATCAGTACTGTCTTTGCCCTTCAGTGTTGGAGTTGCTGCTGAGTTTCCCTTACCTTTCCTTCCTCTTCATCTCTGCCAGCACTGGCTTATCTTAAAATCCTCCCACCTTCAATATCTCAAACATGTGAGTTTTCCAGGCCTCCATCTCTCCCTTTCCCTTACATAAATCCTGGTATGTGTCCACATCCTACTCTAGTCTCTCTGTTTCTCCTGATTTTCCCCCACCTTCTGATTTTCTTTGCCTCGACCAGCCTGCCCCAGGTGATCAGCCATTTTCACCTCATACCACATCACTTCAGTGTCCGGTTCTTTATGATTCCCGGGGCTTACTTTCTCAAGGTCACCTCTAGTTCTGAATTCCACCCCCAGTTCCTCCCTGTAGCCCACTCACCTCTCACCTCTTGCTGCTGTTCTTTTCTGAGTCTTTCCTTCATTTCCCCAAAACTTTGCTCCCAAGGCATTTCTGTCTGTAGAAAATATTGTTCATGACTTGGGTGAAAGGGAGTTTACGAGATAAGAGAAAACAAGGTCAAATTGAGCACCAGACATCTCTGTACATGGAGGTCTTTCAGTTCTTCAAGTTGTGCTGTCCAGTCCTTCTCCAACATTTCTTTCTTTCTTCCCTTTATTTTCCATTCTAGTTCACCTCCAAATTTTAGTTAATTTCTAATGGAAATCAGTCAATTTAACTATTGTTTTGCTTCTCTTCTTTCAGTGACTCAACTTTCATTTCCTCTGTTTCACCAAAACTGTTTTTAAGGTATTTTTTAAAAGACAGCTCTTTTCCTAATATAAACTCATATGCAATTTTTCTCTCTTTGGTTGTAGTTGTAAAGCATCCACCTCTTTTTTCTTTTTTTAAAAAAAAATTTCTGTCAAGCCTGCATGTCTATTTTCTTAAGAAGTAGGGGTAGAGCAAAGTACTTAGAAATCCAAAGCTGATATATTCATCTGTAAATAAGTCTCTGCCTCACCATCTTAGTGAGTTCATTTTCCTTTTGCTTTCAAACTTCACCTCCAACTCCTCTCTTCCTTTTCTGTCTTTACCTGTTTTTGTTTGGAAACTGCCATCGCCCTCAGCCTTCATCTTGGCTTGCTTGCAGAGCTTCCCCTTGGATGACCTCTCTCCCTCAACAGCAAATCCCTGACACCAACTCATTTCTGATTATTGGCCTTTGTTCCCAGACTTTCTTTGGGGTAACTGTATTTCACCCATGGCATGCTCTTGCTGCATGCTCTTGCTGGCCCAGCAGCCTTTGCTAAATCTATCATCTTCAGCTTCCCTTCCTCCTAATCAGCTCACAGCTAAGAGATTAGGGTTCCATTTGAACCAGCTCCTCCATGGAGGCTGCTGTGTCCTCCCTCCTCTTCTCTCCATGCCTCCTCCACCTTCTTTCCCTTCTTCACTCTGTTGGTCAAAACATATTGAATGTAGACCAGCTGCCTTTCAGTACTAAAGAGACCAGGATGAATAAGTCCATGTCTGCTATCTTGGTGCTCATAGTCTAATGGGAAAGAAAATTGACTAGGTAATCGCACAGGAGTCTTTAGTGGTTCCCAGTAACAGTATGATGATATTTTCTTATTTTCTTATTAAATTATTGTTTTCTGTATTATTAGTAGCAAGTATATATTTCCCACTTGAACCTTATCACCCCATTTTTCAAAACAATTTCAGCTTTTATTTTAGGTTCGGGGGTACAGTTGCAGGTCTGTTATCTGAGTATATCACATGATGCTGAGGTTTGGGGAATGAATGATCCCATCATCCAGGTACTGAGCATGGTACCCAATAGTAGTTTTTCAGCCCTTGCCCTCTCCCTCCCTCCCTCTCCCCTCCAATAGTCACCAACATCTATTATTATTACTATCTTTATGTCCATGAGTACCCATTGTTTAGATCCCACTTATAAGGTTTGGTTTTCTGTTCTTACATTGATTAGCTTAGGATACTGGCCTCCAGCTGCATTCATGTTGCTGCAAACGACATGAATTTGTTCTTTTTTATGGCTGCATAGTATTCCATGCTGTACAGGTACCACAATTTCTTTATCCAGTCCACTGTTGATGGGCACCTCGGTTGATTCCATATATTTGCTATTGTAAATAGTACTATGATGAACATGTGAGTGTATGTGTATTTTTGGTAGGACAATTTTTAAAATATATATATACCCAGTAATAAGACTGGGTGAAATGGTAGTTCTGTTTTAAGTTCTTTGAGCAATTTCCAAGCTATTTTCCACAGTGGCTGAGCTAATTTACATTCCCTCCAACAGTGTATAAGCTTTCCTTTTTCTCCACAGCCTGCTCAGCATCTGTTGTTTTTTGACTTTTTAGCAGCAGCCATTATGACTGGTGTGAGATGGTGTTAATATCTCATTGTGGTTTTAACTTGCATTTCTCTGGTGATTAGTAATGTTGAACATATTTTTGTATGTTTTTTGACCACTAGTATGTCTTCTTTTGAGAAGTGACTGTTTGTGTCTTTTGCTTACGTTTTAATGGTCACTCCAAATATTTACAAGTTGAAAATGGGACCGGTTGAGCTATCAAATACCAGGAGGGTAGAGAAATGGAACACCTGATCAGTTTACATTTTCTGTTGCTTCTGAACAGTCCAGTCAAAGTTTCTTCATTTTTCAGTAATGTGCTTGTTGAACTGAATCCCATTTATTTCAAGCTTAGGCCCAAATTTGATGGCTCCCTTGTTTGAGTCACACATATGTTCACTAACTATGCACCAAAGCACAAGCCTGAGATAACTGCTGTGCCAGCCACCCAACAATGGATCACAAGTTGCCAGCACATAATGGGTTCTCCAGCACATAATCGATTCTGCCCTATGAGTGCATTTCTCTTTGAGACCTTTGGCATCTTTTCTTGCCTGCCAACTTTGTGTTACATTGGTCCAATCCAACAGATATTTTAGCATCAAATATTAGGGAGCAGGAGTTCATTCCCTCCCATAAGGCTCTGAACTTCTTATGAAAATTGGTTTACTTCCTCCTCTATGATCAGCTTTGGGCAGCAACATGTGATGTGAGCAGGCTTCCTTAGGTCATATCAGTGGATCCTACTGGCAGGCACTCTGAAAGAGAGTGCAGGAGTGAGCCTTTCCGGACTAAAGTAGGCCTATAGGTAATTTACTTTTGTTTCCTCAGGAAGAAAAGAGGTGGCCACTTCGAGTACAAGTCACTCAGTTACATATAAGATAGTGTGGTAAGAAAGTTATAACGATTGACATAAAATTCCATAGCCTCTTGCCAAGAAGGTGACCATCCTTGTCTTATCATGGCGTTGAGTTTCATCTGCACTTGAGGTGTTGGTTAGATGAGAAGAAAACCTGACTAACCTTTGCTGCACACTGGGGTTCTTTTATTTCTCACTTGAATTCTTTACTGTATCATTTACAAACCTTCTCTCTTTTCTTCAAGAGTCCAGCACTATTTCAGCCTGCCATCTTGCTGGCAAATGTCCTACACGTCTACTCAGTGGAAAAGTTTGAAAATATCAGATGTACATTCCCCTAATTTTTCTCCTACCTACATGAGAATGTGTTAATTGTTCATCTTTCTTTCCTGGTCCTTCTCTTTTTCGATGGAGAAACAAGTGTCTCGTTGTTTTCTGTTCTTGTTTTTGGTTTTGTTTCTTTTACTAAGCCTGTGTTTTTGAACTCCGGTGTCTGTGGATCTCCTGGGACCTAAGTTATACCTTCTTGTCTTAGATTTTCTACCTCTTGCCCTCAATTGGTTATGTTTCTTTTTTCTGCCTAAAAACATGATTTGTACAATCTACCTAAATCAATAATAACAACAATTGTAACAACAAAGCAAAAGAAGAAATTTTTCTTTGTTCCTGCTTCCTGTGAGAGCAATACTCTCTATGGTTTTATTCAATTTCAGATCTTTTTATCATCAGGTATTTCATTGATTATATAATTTGCCTGCCTCCATTCCTTACTAATTAATCATACTTAACAATAATATTATTCTTAAATACATGCATTTCTTTCTCATCTTTTAAACGAGTCTCCATTTTTTCAGAAGAGAAAAATTAAATTCTATTTCTTTTGAAATATTACAATCTTATTCTCACTACCAACTTTCTCTCTATGACTTTCCAACTGCCAAGTCCAGTGTATTGAAAGTCTCATTCACTTGTGACCTTCTATATAACTGGAATCTGGTTTCTACTCAAAGCCTTTTCCTCCTTTGACATCAAAACCTCGCCTACCATGCTCCTCTGCTTGCCTCTGCCATTTGGAGCTTTTCCAACTTATTTGATAGCAACACTTTTCAGGCTCTTATACACAGACATACCATGATCCCTGTCTTACACACTTCTTTCTTTATCCTTCTGCATGCAGAAACTCACCACCAATCCAAAATACATTTCCCCTTACAGAAACCCTCAATTGCCTTATTTTGCCTTCTAATTTAAGTACAAACTATTTGGCTTCATGGTTCCACAACACACATTTTGGATCTCCTATGCCAGTATTTTCTACTTTTGTTCATCTGTATATACCTATCCAGAAACAGCTGGTTGATAGCTAAGTAAATCTTAAGCTTCTCTGTCTCCCAGTCACTGTGATACTATTTATTCTGTCTGAAAGTCTACTTGTCTCTCCCCTTCTCGCCACCTGTCAAGGTGACTGAGGCTAGAACGCAGACTGTTCAAGGGCATGACAACGACTTGTGGGTTAAATAGAAACTTGCTTAGTAACTAGCCTTTCTTGATATATTATTCTTGAACAAGTTCATTTTGTTTTTTCTCATCTTTCAAAGAAGTCTCCATTTTTAAGGGAAAAACTGTAAATTCTATTCCATTTAAGGAAATGTCCCATGATATTAGAAAGCAAGTTTATTCCTTTTTGGATTAAGAAATTTAAAATGGTTAATGTATATTTTATTTTTCAGTGAGAAAGTTAAAACTGCACTAGAATGACATTCCTCACTTCTTTCTTTTGTTTTCTATTTAAATTGTACATTTTGCTGTGTGCTAAAGCACTGGACTCTGTATTATAGAGAGACTGTGGGTGGTATGCATTTTGTGACCGTGTTAGTTAAAGCATGATCATACTGTTGACTGGTTTGGCTTAGACAGTAGGAAACATCTGGCAGTTTCCTGATATTTATCAAGACAGAACTGTGCTTCCTTTAAAAACAGTTTCACATGAACAATGCACTACATAATAGCAGAGGAATTTTATAACAACAAGTATAAAAACAAGAATGTGACTATTAAATATAGACATTAATTTTATAATGTTAATCAAAAAGTTAACTCTTTTTGATTATAAAGTTATACTCTAGAAATATATCAATGTTTATATTATAAATCCAGAACAGAGTGTTTGTTCTTGCTGAAAAGAATATCAGAAAATTGATCTGAGATAGTAGAGCGAACTTTGATTTATAATTCTTTGACTGTAATGTTCAAATATATTTACCTAGCCTGGCATAGTGGCATGTGTGCTTGCAGTCCCAGCTACTTGGGAGGCTGAAGGAGGTGGATCACTTTGAGCCCAGGAGTTCGAAGCTGTTGTGAGCTATGATTACACACTGCACTCCAGCCTGGGCAACAGAGCAATACCTTGACTCTAAAGCCAGTCCCAAATGAACTTGGAAGGAATAAGAATAGATCGGATAAGTGAGTGGGGTCTGATTTTTTTCTTTTTGAACCCTGTAGGTTTCAAATCCCAAGTTCCAAGGTCTATATCTTTCAGCTAAGGAACCTTAAAGTAGGGTGGCTTTTTATGACTTTTCCACTTTCATATAAATCTGTGATGGATACCTAAATGTGGCCTTGCTTCTGATCTGTATGTCAGAAAATTGGACTAAATAACTTACAGTTATGGTTCCAGAGTTAGCAAATATATCAACCCTTTATGCTTGGCTCAAAGTAGATATTGCTAATCAGTCACTGAGTGCTCTCTTACCGAGCTAGAACAGCCCTCATAATCTTTTCCAATAGCACTGCAGGTTTACTAATCAATTGGAGTTGACATGACATGTTAAACCTATTTGCTTTCCCAGGTTTAGACTTTCCAAAATATAGCAAATACAATCATTTGGGCAAAACTTATCATTAATCGCTTTCCAAAAGAAATGCTGAAAAACTATTTTGGCAGCCCCTCCTCTCTGCCTAATACATGGCTATTTTAGGAGACATATAACTGCATGTGATCTGATTCCTCCCTTATCTTTCTTTTCCAGTAGTGTCTGCAAAGTTTATCTCATCCAGTTTGAATAGACTTCTGAGCACATCGCTCTCAGGTCTTCACAGCTAATCTATTTTCAACCACGATATAACTTCCTATATCCAAGACAAGGTGTCCTTCCTTTTTAAAATAACTTATCTTTCCCAGTTCCTTTAATTCCTTTAGTTTCTTCCGTTTTCCTAAATGTTCATCACTTAGTCACTTCTTTACCTTATTATGTCTCTTCTCTCCAATAATTGCCCCTCCTCACTAAAAATATGCTGTCAGTTTTTCCTTGGCTTTAACCAAGCATGCAAAGCCACAGACTTTTCACCAATTCTACTCCCTACTTAAACTAGCACATTATAACATTTTTCCCCCTTTAACCACAATGTCTGTTAAAACACCAGGCTGTTTCATCAATCTCTTCTTAATTCCTTGCAAGGATTTTTAAACTCTTGGAATTTGCCAAATGCTTTCTTTTCCTTTTAGCCTCTCAGTAGCATTCTTGACCTGCTCCGTTTCTCTGGCTTATCTAGCCCTGCACAAAATGAATTTCTTCTTTGCTTGTTCTTTTTGTGTTTCCTTTGTTAACATTTTATATAATTCCTAAGGCCTTATTCTTGACTTTCTTCTCTTCCCCTTCTCTACGTCCTTCTCTTTGGAAAACTCAACTTTGAAATTTTCAGCTATCATCTCTTTACAGCTTTCAAATTAATGTGAGTACTCCAGGCTTCACTCTTAGAGGTG
Organism: Homo sapiens; assembly: GCF_000001405.40. Taxonomy (NCBI): domain Eukaryota; kingdom Metazoa; phylum Chordata; class Mammalia; order Primates; family Hominidae; genus Homo; species Homo sapiens. The sequence goes on from NC_000007.14 coordinate 93,946,704, forward strand.
AGTTTCACATTTTCAACTCCCCTTCTGAACATAAACAGTGACTTTCTTTTTCCAATTACTTTTAACCTTAAGGAGACTTTTTAACCTGTGTTTTCATCTGTTGCATATCAGGCATGCCAAATTTAGTTGCTGTCCTTCAGTGTGTTTTCTGGGCCCCATTCTTCCTCCCGGTTCCATTGTCTTCTCGATTAAAGCTTTTATCACCCCAAAACAGAAAGCTTAAAATAGTTACATTGCAGCTTCATATTCCTGTCTCTATAGTCTTTTTTCTGAAAGCCACCTTGCAAAAGATCTTTAGGTTTGCCATCTTAAACCACTGTTTTAAAACCATATGTCTCTTGTCGAAAACCATCATGGGATTGCTATTATCTACTGAATGAGAACTGGGCTCCTTATTCTGACAGCCAAATTCTCCATAAGCCAGGCTTAACCTACCTTTAAAGCTTGTGCTCATGTCAAGCACACTACTTGCTGATTCCAAAATTTGCCTTGATTTTTTTTTTATGAGTGTGCACTTTTGTTTTGCCACTTTAGATTTCTGGAATTAATTCTTCTACTTCTATATTCCATCTTTTAAAATTCTACTCAATCTTTAACAGCCAACTCAAACAACTTCAGCATTAGCCTTGAGGTAGAGGTGTGACCAGGTCCATCCAGGTGGGGCACTGACCAAGAAAGAAAAAGAAGGAGGCAGTCGAGGGACATCTCTGAAGGGGCATAAGATTTATGTCCAACAAAGACATGGATGCTAGCTAATACCATGGGATTGCTTAAGGTGAGTTGTAAAAGTGAGCAGAAGAGAGACTTGACATGGCCTGAAGGCAGGCTAATAGTTATCTTGGGAGTAGGAAGAAGAAACATGCAAAAGACACCAGCAAGTTGTGGTCAAATACAGGAGAAAAGCCAGGAAAATGTGATATGATACAAGTCAAAAGAAGAAAGTTTTTCAAGAGGAATGTAGTATTTGATATTTTCCAATGTTCCTAAGAAATCAAAAGAGATGAAAATCAAAAACAAAAACAAGTGGGTGGTGGGGAATAGAATTTAGTGACATGGGCCACTGGGAACATTGATGAGAGCTCTTTTGGTGGAGTGGTAAAGGGTCAAGCCAGATTAGTGTTGGCTAGTGATCAAGAGATGAAGAAGTGGAGACAGCAAAAATGTATAATATTTCTGGAGAGCTTGTTGTGGCTGAAAGAGAATGAGGAACGAATCTTCTTTCTTGGGAGTGGCTGGAGGTAGCTTAAAAGCCATTAAAAATATTCAGGTTTAATGGGAAAGTTAGAAGATAATGCAAAGAGAAAAAACATTTGAGTAAAGTTCCTAAGATAGGGGGAGAGGATAAGCTCAAAAGTCAGGAGATTTAGTGTGAGCAAGGAGCAGGCCACCTCCTGTCTTGCAAAAAGACAAAGAGTAGACATGGGTGAGGAGAAAAGACATGTGTGTTTGGTGGCTTAGAGCATGTGATTTAGAGATTGAAGAAATGTCCAATTGATGGCATCTATTTTCCCTTTGAGATAGTAAGTGACATCAACCTCTGACACCAAGGAAGAAGTGGGAAGTAGTAGGGATGGGAGTTTCAGGAGAATGTAAACGGTTTGAAACAGTCATTGCAGAGTAATGTCATTGCAAAGTAATTTGAAAAAAAAATTATTGGAATGCCAGAAAAGAATGTAAATGAAGAAAGACTCAATATGTGGGTTTATTAAGGACTGGTTTGTTAAGACCAGTGTGATCAAAATATGGGACATAAGTACATTTAGAATGTGGCCAAGAATGTTTTTTGGGGATTTTTTGTTTTTGTTTTTGTTTCTGTTCAGGGATAGAGTCTTACTCTGTTGCTCAGGTTGGAGTACAGTGACAAGATCATGGCACACTGCAGCATTGACCTACCAAGCTCAAGCAATCCTTCTGCCTCAGCTTCTCAAACATCTGGGACTACAGTTGTCCACCACCATGCCCAGCTAATTTTTTTGAGTTTTTGCAAAGATAGGGGTCTCACTGTGTTGCCTAGGCTGATCTTGAACTCCTGGGCTCAAGCAGTCCTCTTGCCTCCCAAAGTTCTGGGATTACAAGCATGAGCCACCACACCTGTCCTCAAGATTGTTATTGGAATGGTGGAATATATATTGTGAAGAGGAAAATGAAGGAAGAAAAGGCCAGTAGGTTTAACAAAAAAAGAAAGAAAGAGAGAAAAAGGAAGAAGGAAGGAAGGAAGGAAGGAAGGAAGGAAGGAAGGGAGGGAGGGAGGGAGGGAGGGAGGAAGGGAGGGAGGGACGGAGGGAGGGAGATAAGGAGGGAGGGAGGGAGGGAAAAAGGGAGAGAGGGAGAAAGGGAGGGGTGTAATTGGATTGGCAGTCCTGATGAGATTCAAGAAGGGTCTCTGATGCCTTACCTGATTACTCCCATCTGGAAGCTGTTTTTTATCTAGCTTCCCCAATCACGGTTGTTTGAACTGCTTATTATTGAGATGTTATCCACCATATACTGCCCTATTTCAATATGGTATGCTAGCTCACTTATGTGGGCTGGATGTGTAGTACAAGTGTCTACACACTTAAACTTACTCATGATAGGTAATCAATAAATATTTGTTGAATGAATGAATAAGAGAAGGGAAGAAGAACAGAAAGGATGAAAGTAAGAACAATATACTTTAGCTTAGTCTTTTGTTTACAGATTGTTGTCAACACATATCTTACTGATTATATTTCCTTTTCTTGCAACTTTTAAGAATGAGTATATGGTATTTTAGTCATTTAGTGATCAAAAGATTGATCAAAAGATTAGATTAGGTTACTCAAACCAACAAATGTTTTATTTGACCATTAAACATAAATTTGTGCTCTCTTTTTATTCACAACATGAGGCAGAAAATTGTGAAAGTTTCTAGTAATTACAATTCAATCCAGAGAGCCAGTCTGGGAGTGAGTCACCCCCTTGTCTGGACAGTAAGTGTCCATTATTTACGTCAATATGCTCTGTGGCTGTGCCTGCAGCTAACCCTGAATGATAGCAAATGTCTGCTTTTCCAATTCTTTTTCAATTTCCTTCTTTAAGAAGAAAACAATTGAATGTAACAGGATAGAACTACACTGAACATCACTATTAAGATAATGGCTTACTGAGTTTGTTGTTCATGACATGAATGCTGTTCCTGTTACACTAATAATTAGCCATCTGCTAAAATGTGAATTTTTCCATTTTGAGCTATGAATCTGTAAAGAATATGAGCACATTGATTTACTTCCTTTGAATTTTTTTATTACAATTGTATTGATATCTTTCAGTCCAGTTTTCCTTCCTTAACTTAAACGTATCCCTTTCCTCTTTAAGGATATTTCATGCAGCGTCAAGATACATACAAAGTAAAAAGCTTAAAATTTTTTTAAAAAACTGTCCATTAGATTGTGAAGTGCTATTTTAGTGACAATACTAAATCGATATTTGTTGTGTTATGGCTGAATTGAGTGAATTTTTCACTTGCCTAGTTAATTTTCTGTATGTGAAAAGAGTAGATCTCTTTTACTGAATACATCAAAGTTTACATGCATGATGCCTAATGGCCTAATTGAGGTAAACAACATTACGCTCCATGAGTAGAACTTCAGTCTCTTTTGTTTCTGGTACTAAGACTAATTCTTTATTTTAGGAATTATTATTATTATTATTTCGGTCATTATCATCATCATCATCACAATAGTCATTATCATATCTGGGACCTCAAGGCCCTTGCCATCACCAGGAGGTGACGATGAGTATCTCTTTTTATAAAGTACTCTTAAAGGCCTCATGATAGATGTGATTTAATATACATCCTTCAAGGGGACAAATCCTCCCCAACTGCATTCCTCTTGTTTATCCATTTTTTGAAGATTTTCAGATTTCTAGAGAATAGTTATTGTGGTGTGGTATGAAAAAGAATGAGGAAAAGATTTGAATTCAGAGTGGTTCAGGTTCAAATTTTGTGTGTATTAGTTGTTTGATTCTGACTAGATTATTTTGGCTTTGTAAATATCAGTTTCCTCATCTGCAGATTAGGGATAATTGCTACCTGACATGATTCATTTATTCAACATCTGTTTCTTGGAAATCTAGGTACTAGGTAGGTCCTGTGAACAAGGTAAATGGTTGATGACTTTGTGAAACCTACAACTTATGGAAGACATCAAGCAAATGATTTTAATTTGAGTGGCAGTATATACAATGTTTAAGAACTGAAAGTCTGGGCCCTATCTACCTGGGTTCAAATCTCAGCTCTGGCCCTTACTGGCTGCAGCAGTTTAAATTGCCTAATCTTATTTTGACTCAGTCTCCTCCTCCTTTTATGGATAAAGGTGGGTTTTCTTTTTTCTTCTGATGAGAGGACTCAAGTTCAGAAAGCTTGAAATAAAGTTAGGGGTAGCTCATAACTCAAGATGGCATTTTAAGGAAAAAATACCTTCATCCTTCAGAAACCTGAACAGAAGTGGAAAAATAACTGCAGTTCTTTAAATAAGCTTTTGAATTTGAAGGTCTGTGTTGGAAACATGACTGGGACACTAAGGTCCAGTTGGAACCACTGAGTCACCACCTAAATGTATGTGTTTTACTGACCTCTGATGCTGCATGGAAAGACCAGGCTTCATTCAGACATATACATGAAGTAGGACAAGATAAAAAGGAATCCTGATGTGAATAACAGATCAGATACATGCAAACACATGATCACACAGTTGGGAACGTGTATTGCTGCTGCAAACATTTTCAGTCTATGAAAATAGAAAAACATTATCCATTCTTTAGAGAGAAGGAAAATAATGAAAATGTTTAAAACTTTTTATGATTCAAAATCTCTCTTTTCCTGTCTTAAAATATTCAGAATGCCATTAAATTAAGAAAAATATTTATTGAATATTTAATTTTGCCAGGATAAAATTTAATTACTTTATATCATGTCATAAAGTTTTACAGCATGTAGTTACTTGTAGCATTTATGACAAGATGAATGAAAAATTTGAGTAATTACTTTTTTTGCAATCTTTTTCGTAGTACTTGTTTTGTGCCGGGAACTGTTCTAAGAGTTCTAAGTATAACATTCCACAATTACGTAGGAAGTTAATTGTTGGTTTTTTAATAGATTTCTTTGATCAGATTTAGAATTTTCTCTTCCAGTCCTACTTTGATGGGAGATTTTCAACATTAACAGGTATTGAATTTTGTCAAATGCCTTGTCTGCACCTATTAAATGGATCATATAATATTTCTATTTATTTCATTAATACTACTAATTGCAGGGTTGATTGATTTTGTGTTGTCAATCTAACTTGGTGTTTCTGGAATAAACTTCACTTAGTCATGATGTATTATCTTTTTCTCTGTTATTAGATTAAATTATCTAGTATTTTGTTTAAAATTTTCATATATAATTTTACGTAGAATATTGGTCTATGGCTTCCTTTCCTTACAATATTTTCATCAGGTTAGTAGTAGGGTTATGCAGGCCTCCTGAAATTAGTTCAAAACCATTTCCTTTTCCTTAATTTTTGCAAAATGTTTTTGTATCATTTCTATTATTTCATTCTGCAAACTTAATAATATTCATGAGGGGAGGTGTTTGGGCCTAGTGTTATCTTTGTTTATGATGATGAATTCAATTTATTTAATATAGTGGTTTTAGTAGTTCTTAAGTTTTAGTATGCATCACCACCATTGGGAGGGTTGTCAAAACACAAATTGTTGAGCCTTCCTCAAAGCTTCTGTAGGTCTAGAGTGGGGCCAAAAAATTTGCATTTCAAATAAGTTCCCAAAAGATGCTGTTGCTGTTGGTCTTCCAACCATGCTTTGAGAACCACTGCTTGCATAGATAGAGGACCATTGAGCTGATGATGCTCTTGGTAAATAATAACAATAAATATTTATTATTTTTAATTTTAATATGTGTTCCATGCTGATACGATTTGTGTCCCCATCCAAATCTCATCTTGTAGCTCCCATAATTGCCATGTGTTGTGGGAGGGACCCAGTGGGAGATAATTGAATCACGGGGCCAGGTCTTTGCTGTTCTCTTGATAGCGAATGAGTCTTGCGAGATCTGATAGTTTTAAAAAGGTGAGTTTCCTTGCACAAACTCTCTCCTCTCTTGCCACCACCAAGTAAGAAGTGCTTTTCACCTTTCGCCATGATTGTGAGGCCTCCCCAGCCACGTCGAACTGTGAGTCCAATAACCTCTTTCTTCTGTAAATTGCCCAGTCTCGGTTGGGTATGTCTTTATCAGCAGTGTGAAAACGGACTAATACACATACCTAGTTTTCTTTTGATTGTTTTTTCTTAATGGTATATTTTCTCACTTTTTCATGTATTTTGTATTTTTTTTATTGACAGCTTGTCATTGTGTAAGAAAGATATGCTTAGTGTAAGGTCTGGAGTGCTACAGAATTTTTGTCACTTCTCTTCCTCTACCCTCAGACTTCAACAGGCCTTATTTTCCTGCACCTTACATTGAGTCCTTTTAAGAATGACATCTTTCCCTCTAGGGTAGACAGATCATCACTGCCTCGTACTTGGTGTAAGGGCCATATTTCAAGAAGTTCTTCTCAATTCTGCTTTTTCCTCATTCTTAGGCAAACCTTCCTGCATCCCAGTAAAATTCATCTCAATATTACTGATTGCTTGACACCTTATAATTTCCTTGAGACTTACATTTTTGGCTCTTAATTCAAATGAGTTTTGCCACTGCTCTCTGCTTATTGATAAGATAATTATGTATTCTGCATCTTTGTGTGCTCTCTGGTGATAGATTATAATATAATTGTCCCTGCCAGAGCTGCTTTAGTTAAGTGCCTGGTAGCACAAGTCATTTTCCTCCCCAAGGGTTTGTAAACTTAATCTTCTAAAATCTTTTTGTTGTCCAGTTACTAATAGAATATGCATTTTGGAGAAGGGCAAAAACAGATATACCTAATATTTAGACCTAGTCTCAATGGAGTTCGTCTTTTATGAGAACTTTTATAAAGAAATGGAAGAAATCCCCTCCCCTTGTTAAATTTAAAACAATGAAGGTTTAGTGGGCCATACCTGCTGTTAGTTTGAAAAACATGGTAAAGAGCAGAATTGACTCTATGCCTGAATGTTCTCTCCCTTTTACACACATACAAATGTACACACACATTTTACACACATACAAATGTATAACCAGGAGCCTGTTATTGGTTATTTTCACACTAATTCAACAGAGTTACATCAAGGATTAAGAGAACTGGAAAGATGTCAAAGGATGGGCTATGCAATGTCTAGTGTCCAGTCTAGCTTTTTATTTTAAGTAAAAGAGTTGAGAGACTTGAAAAGCAATTCTGCCAAATGAATTTTTAGAAATTTTATTGATGTTTTGCCCGCATGTAATTCAACAGCAGTGTATAAACAATTCATCATTACAAAGTTATTTATAAATTTATTCAACATTGTTTTTATGAAACAACAATACCCTTTCTTTAACCCTCATCAAAACAAATGATGTTAGGGACTGTCAGCTTTGCACAGTGAGTGTATGACACAACTTCTGCTGAAAACGAAACTGAGTGCACTCAAGGAACACAGAGGAGTAGATGGGGTTCCTGGCATGATGTAAGATAATAATGAAAAATGACTTATGTATTTTTAAGAGTTTCTACTTATTTTATATAACACATTGTAGCAAGAAGTGTTACAGGTATTTACAGAAACGCATGATCTCTTCTGCAAGTTTCCCTATAGCAGTTGTTATTGTTGTTGTTGTTACCTTGCAAGAATTCTCCAGCAAACATGTAATATTTTCAACAGGTGCTTCATGCTCCTAGTACTTGCTATCCTTGAGCTTAAGGGCCTAAGAGACAGAACCAAATATTTAAAAATTCTAGCTTCCATTGGATGAAATAGAAAACTTCAAATTTCACAGGCAGAGCCACAAGGCAAAGATTCTTGGGGATGGGGTGGTCGTAGGGACACTAGAGTGAATCCCTGAGGAATGCAGCTCCTGCTAGATTGATTTAATTTCATTTTATGATGCTGTGCCCTGCTTTGTATACAAGATACATATAATGAAAGTTGTAATCTATCAACATGGTATCAAATATTTCAAAGCATTTGATTTTATCCATTATATGAGTTTTATCTAAATAGAAGTTGGAATCTCTTCTTTTGTCTGATTCTCAAATACTGGTTTGCAGACTTTTCTCCTTGACCTTTTCTTACTTTGAATGCTTTAAATAGAGAAATAGACCTACTTGCGTGGCCCCAACTACAACAAAAACTTTTATGTTTTTGTCACTCTTATGAGTCCATGCCAATGGTACACAGCTATATCTCATACAGCATGCTATAAAATGTAATGATTTTTATCTCTAGCTCCCCTAACATGCTTCTTGTCAAAGGTCATCTGTTGAAGCTAGACACCTAGGAAACACCATTGACCCCTACTCCTTCCTTACTCTTCACATCCAAATGCTTCTCCCAGACCTCTTGGCTTTATGGCATTTTTTTCCTCAAAGTTTTGTTACCAAATGAGATGTAAGTGTTTCTAAGGCAATATTTAGAATACCTAAAATGATTAATTATAAAGGGAGGGATTACTGTTAATATGAGTATAGGTTAATTCTAAAACATAAGAGTTTCATGCATGAGAAGTCTGAAATGAGATTTGAAATATGAGTGAACTTTGGGAGACTGGTATAGGGAGGCAAGGGGAACATTTTCACCTAAGATGAGAGAGCTAGGATACAGTCTCAGGAGGACGAGAAGGGCGGCACTGTCAAATAGTGCAGAAAGAATGGGGTGAACCAGGACTGGAATGAGTCACAGCATCTGAACCCTGGGGAGTCACCAGTGGTCTTGAGTGAACAGTGTCACTGCAGTTGGACATGAAGCCTCAACTGAAACATGAATTATGAAAACAATATGTGAGAATGTAGGAAGAAATTTAATGGTCAAGATAAAGAAGAAACAGAACTGATACCTGCAGAGGAAGTAAAGAGAAGTTTTCCTTAATGAAAAGCAGTTTTTCAGCCAAGGATGGGAGAAGATAAAATGAGAAAGAATAGTAATAATATAGCAAGTTTGCAGATGGAGGCATGGGTTGTGGAATCAGGAGTAGACATAGAGGTACTATCTTCCAAAGAAGATGGGACAGTTTTCCTCCAAGATCACAGAGAAAAAAAGATGACAACACCTAAATAAATTTGAGGCAAAATAAATGTAATATTGAGAGAACTTTTACTATATGGTTCTGATCACTGGAAGCAGGAAGTGTGTTGAAACTTAGCTGGGTAGCTTTTAAAAATATTAATGCTGGGTCATACTCCTAAAGATTTTGATATAAGTGGTCTTATGGGGAGCCCAGATGTCATATTTTTCAGTATTTCCCAGGAGACTCTAATATTCAGTCAGGACCATGGGCTAGAGAGAAGGGCTGGGGTGACCATATTTAGAGGCAGTAGAAAAGGTAAACAAGGTGTGAACACCTACAAAGATAAAAGGGTGAGTAAGGAACAACATCTTTTCACTGAAATATTGGAGAAAAAGGGAAGCTGGAAGAGGAAGGTGTAATCAAAATGCAGTTTAATATATTTCAAGTAGATGTGGTTTTTTGCATATTCTTTCATCTTATTTATTCACTTTTCTTATCAACTTCCTCCTATTTTCCTTATTTATTTCTAACCCCACCCTTTCTGGTTGCTTTGGCATTCCTTCCCTCTTTATCATTTACTTTTCTTACATCTTCCATTCTCCACACTTTTTAACTTTTCCTAATTTTTCTGCCCATTAGTTCCTTTCTCCCTTCCTCTAGGCAAAGTAGCAAAAATAACTTAGGCTAGGCGAGGACAGAAAACAAGACGGTTTTAATAAACGAGCCAAGCCTGAGCCAACTGCAGAATATGGTAGGCCTAGGAGATCCTGGACTGGCACAGCGACTACTAAGAAAGTTAAATCAGAAGAAGGCAAAAGGCAGAGTCCCGTGTTATGTCCATTTCCCCCCAGAGGTATGATCCCAGGTGCTCTGGGGAAACTACAGTTATACCAGTGTCAGGGTATGAAAAAAATACTGGCAATCAGTCCACGCTTTCTTGTGCCAGTGGGTATGACTTGGAGATTATGCTAGTTAGGACTGTTTCAGTTACAACTGAGAGAAAGCAACTTGAAATAGCTTAAGCTAAGCAGAAAATTACTAAAACAGATATGCCATAGGATACCAAAGGCAGGTAAAGATGAAAACCAGGAACTAAAATGCTCTCCAGGCTCTTTCATATTTTAGTCCTGTCTTCTGCTGACTTTCTCCTCTCCACTTGCATGCCAGGGTCCTCCACTGCTGTGGTGGAAATTGTTGCGTGGATAATAGTTTTAGACAAACAAAATGTGAAAGAGAGCGAGGAAGAGAAAGCTAGGCTGTCCTAATTTTAGAACATAGAAGAAATCATCCACTGGGTTGAATTGGAATCACCTGTTGACTTTAGCCCTGGACAGTCAGTTTTCAGCTCTTCAATAGCAACATGGCTGCCACATTTGCACCCCTCAAAGTTAAGGAAGAAAAAAATTGAAGAATCTGAGCCACCAAAAGATCATTGCTTCAGAGACTGTCCCTGAATCTTTTTTGGTAACTTGTGTTAATTCTCCCAAAGTTTTTCAAAGATAAATAATTAAGAATAAATGATATGGTTTGGCTATATCCCCACCCAAATCTCATCTTAAATTGTACCCCCCATAATTCCCACATGTCATGGAAGGGACCCAGTGGGAGGTAACTGAATCATGGGGGCAGTTTCCCCCATACTGTTCTCGTGGCAGTTAATTAGTCTCAGGAGATCTGATGGTTTTATAAATGGCAGTTCCCCTGTAAAAGCTCTCTCTTGCCTGCTGCCATGTAAGCTATGCCTTTGTTTCTCCTTTGCCTTCTGCCATGATTTTGAGGCCTCCCCAGCTATGTGGAACTGCGATTCAATTAAACCTCTTTCCTTTGTAAATTAACTAGTTTTTGGTATATCCTTATTAGCAGCATGAGAACGGACTAATACAATAAATATATCTTAACATCCCTTTGGTAGTTTAATACATAAAATTTCTCTGTTTTGAAACAAAAGGAATAATGTATTTCATGAATCAAGATTCACCCTAGAAGAATGCAGTAAGTGTACTTAAATGTAAAGGAAACTGAAAAATTACAAATGTGATAAATTTAGACAGGTGCCTAATTTCATTTATGTTCTGAATGTGAAACAGAAGATGGGGCAGGGCCTCCATAAGTGTGCTGCACACTTTGCCTCACACAAAAGTGAAAGGGAGATCTATTGAGCAGACAATCCTGCGCTTGAAGACAGGAGTGGGCATTTACTCTCAACCCTATTTCTTTCCATTCCATCTACTGTTAACTATAAATCATGTGGCTTCACTGGCATTTGAAACATATGTGCATAAGTATTAGTAATGGTAATAATAGCAGTAGTAACAACAAGAGCAGATTTTCCTATTTGCGTGTTTCAAAATTTGTTTTTTGTGTCACTGGTTGAAAAGTCTGAGAATCATAGCTTGCAAGCATTTCATTTACTATTTCATTTATATTTTAGCCTAGTACTAATATAACTGATGGTGAGTACTTATTGGCAATGAGAAAATAGCAATTTGCATACAATAACAGCTGGAGTTGATGGAAAATTCCAGGAATCATTGTTTTAAGTACACGACAGTGGTAATATGAGATGCTGATTGGAGTATGATGCAGATCAGATACCTAAGCCAAATTATCTTACTCATTTCCCCTTTGACTCCAATTCTGATTTTACAGATTCTATGCTGGTCTAGACTACTGTTGTCTACCACCTGAACCACTGCAGCATTTTCCTAATTGGTTTAGCTACGGCTACTGGGCTCCCTTTCATTTATCCTCCGCAGGGTTGCCAGAGCAGTCATCTCATAATGCCAGTCTGAACCTCCAGGATGAATATGACTATTTACGTCAGTATTTTTTGCTCTCTTCCTGGAATCATCCAAAAGCAACAAGGAGAGGTTAAAAACTGAACAAAAAAATAATTGAACTTAATTTTCAGTGAATCTAAAAAACAGGTATGATCCGTCAATGCCAAAATATGCATAAAGGAAAATATGCATAAGCTATAGCCCTGTTTGCAGCAGAGAGTATAGGAATGGAGTTATAGCTGGAGGGACTGGTTTGACTCAGAGAAATGGAGGAAGTGAGGCTGCACAAAGATTGACGTGTGCAAGCAGCAGTTTCCTTCTGGTAGCAGCAACTGGAGGGGCCATTATATTTATAAAGTAAATAGTATATTTTATATAGTAAAGTATTTTTATATTATATATTATATAGAACATATAAAGTATATTTATATGTTCTATATAATATATAAAGTATAAAAGTATATTTATATATTTTATATATTATATTATATATTATATATTTATTTATATGTTAAAGTATATTATATATACTTTATATATTATAAAATATATAAATATACTTTATTATATTATATATTATATTATATATATTTATTATAATTATATATTATATATAGTATATATAATATATAAAGTATATTTATATATTATAGTCAAGTATATTTTATAAAGAGTGTAATATTATTATATATAATAATATTATTATATATAATATATAAATATACTTTCTATATAATATATAAATATACTTTATATATGGTCAAGTATATTTTGTAAAGTAAGACTGTAATATTTTTCAGCAAACTGCAATAATGAGTGATTGCATTTGTTTTCTATTGATGTGTAACAATCTTACCACAAACTTAGTGACTAAAAACAACACATGTTTACTATCTCACAGTTTCTGTGGATGAGGAGTCCAGGCACAGCTTATCTGGGTCTTTTGCCACTGGGTCTCACAAAAACTCAGTCAAGATGTTTCTGGGGCTGCAGGCTTGACTGGCAAACGATCTACTTCTAAACTCACGTGGTTGTTAGTAGAATTTAGTTCCTTGTGCCAGTGAGATTGAGGGCCTGTTTCCAGCTGGCTGTCAATAGGAGGCTGCCCTCAGCTTAAGGCCACATGGCCCTCCCCATATGATGCCTCACATCATGTTTCTTCAAAGCCAGCAAAGGAGATGGGTTACAATCTTAAGAAAGGTTACAATCTTATGAAACATAATCATGTAATCACATATATCCCAATGTTTTTGCCATAGTCTTTTGGATAGAAACAACTCAAGTGCCCACCTACACCCAAGGGAAGAAATCACATAAGAGCATGAATACCAGGAGGCCAGGATCACTGGGAGGGCCACCTTTAAGCTTGTCATCTATAGTGATTTTTTTTTTTAAAAGAAGATACATAGCATATACAAATATTTTAAGAGTCTATAGAAAAAAGAAGAAAAATAACAATAAAATTTTATAAGAGATTGAGTACTCACTAGAAAATTGTTGCCATAGAATGAATGAAAAGTATGACCAAAAGTTTATAATTAATTGAAAATCTTATTGACACAATCACCTGTATGAAGGAAGATTACAAAGTAGAAATATAAGAACTCAGGGAAGTGATAGAAAAAAAACTGAAATAGATGAAAAGTAAGTTATAGAATTAAAATAAAAGTAAAAAATATAATGAAAGAAAATTAGAATGAGTACAAGGAACACTAGACACTTGACATGAACATAAAGCATGTGGATGTAGAAATAAGAAAAATAAACACAAAATAAAAATATAGTTTAACAGGATTAAAACAAAATAATCTACAAGCTCTTAGAACTAACAGTTAAATTTGACAAAGTTGCTGGATTAACAGTCAATATGTAAAATTCAATTGTATTTCTATATACCATTAACTTAAAAATAAAACTTTAAATTTTAAAAAAGTATCTTATACAAAGACATCAAATAGCTAGGAATACTTGCTACTGAAATGCAGTTAATAACTGCACACCAAAAACTATGAAATAGTATAGCAAGTTCTTAAAGATAATATAATAAAATGAAGAGGTATTCTATCTTTATGGATTATAGGATTCAATATTATAAAGTGGCCAAGTCCCCCCAAAATTATTCATAGATTCAATGTTATTTCAATGAAAGCCTTTTGCAGGTTATTTTATGGACATTGACATATCGACTCTAAAGTCTATGTAGAGAAGCAAAGGGCCAAGAATAGCTAGGATAATTTTTTTTTTTTTGAGACTGAGTCTTGCTCTATTGCCCAGGCTGGAGTGCAATGGCATGATCTCAGCTCACTGCAACCTCTGCCTCCTGGGTTCAAGTGATTCTCATACCTCAGCCTCCTGAGTAGCTGGGATTACAGGCACCCACCACCGTGCCTGCCTAAGTTTTGTATTTTTAGTACAGACAGGGTTTCACTATGTTGGCCAGTCTGGTCTTAAACTCCTGACCTCAGGTGATCCTCCCACCTCAGCCTCCTAAAGTGCTGGGATTACAGGCATGAGCCATAGCACCTGGCCTAGGATAATCTTAAAGAAGAATTAAAAGCTGGAATATTTGCATGACCACATAGAGGAAAAAATGTGTGCGTCAGGGCTTTTATATGCAGTCAAGATGTTCAAGTCTGAAGACTACAGGTATATATTTTCAACAGACAAGAGGAGAGTACAATATTATTAATATGATCTTTTTAAATCTTGTAATTTGATCTCTATTGCACCAACGATTAATACATTAAATATATTTGGCTGTATGACTATGCCTAAAACAAATGAAGAAAACAGTAGGACAGAACAAAATAGAAATGTATGTGTAATATATAGTACATATGCAAATACTTATGTATAGTATTTGTGTTTGTATGTATAATTTATATATGTATATATGTATATGTGTGTGTTTATATATTATGTATATATATACACTCAGACACACACACACACACACACACATACACACATACGTATGTTCTGACAATGTAGGCACTACAGGTGCATGAGGGTATCTGTATTTCCATCCCTTCCACCAATGCCTCTCATTTAGTAGCTTTCTAATTTTGCCAGAGAAACAAGGTTTAAGACATTCTAAGTGCTGTTCTAATTTGCATTGCTCTGATGTTAGCATCTCTCCTTAAGCTTGTAAACTTGTGAGATTTCATTTTCAAATACTCAATAGCCATGTGGGCTTACTACTATATGGAGAGATTGGGGGACCATCTTGGAGGCTGTCTACCACACTAATAATAGAAGCGGATAATACTCCCCCTCACTGAGAAAACACAATTTTATATATCCATCCATACATATATGTGTGTTATATGTCCATATACATGCTTATAAAATTCCAACTCAATTGGTACCAAACTATGGACCAGTGTTATGAAAGTGTTTGATAAAGTTCTATAACATTTCAAAGATTTCTGAGAAGTTGTGTGCTTTTCATTGGCATATATTTGTTTTTAGAAATTAGTTTCTTAACAATACCATAGTTCATTAGTTGTGGTGAATGTCTTTTTTCATACCAAATATCACTCTTTAAAGTTAGTATGGTGTTCTATGGGAATGATTCTAGTTCTAGTGAAGATACTAAGAATTGCCTCAGTATTTCTGATCCCATTCAGAAATCGTTCCACACAGATGTAATTTTTCAATGATCAATCTCCTGGTCTTTTTATAGAACAGTTACATGCTACCGAGTTTATATACAAGTTTTTATAATAAGCTGACCTATGTACAAAATATGACTCATCATCTATATTCTGGATTTATCTTTACCTCAACAGTAGATTTCTAGTCTTGTCAAAAGATTGTCATTGAAAAGAAATCAGAGGGAAGATAAATGATGTCAAATGGAATATATGAAAATTCAACCATGTTACAAAAAAAATAGTCTTTGTTTTAGTGTTTTTCTACATTTACCCATAGTCTGAAATTATAGCTGAACCCTGCAAACCAACTCTGATGAGCCTGGAAGTCCAGTTTCACAATAAACAAAGATGAAACTAAGTTAAATCTCTTGAAAGCTAATAGAAAACTGTCAAGTACTGTTTAATAATATAAATTGAAAATCACCAGTTACTAAGATAAATTCCTAAGACTGATTTTATTTCTTTACACACAGGGTTCAAAGCTTTTGTAATTTAATGGTCAGATAAACCTTTATTAAAAAAAAAACACAGGATACATTATCTGAAATTCAAAATACTGAGCTAATAGATTCCCAACAGTTCACAGCACAGAACATCAAATAAGATGGTAAACATCTTGGCTATAATTAAAAGTGGATACATTAGACTCTTTAACTATTGGAAATGAAACTTGCTTTCAATTCTATGCATTTATGGGATGTTTGGAAAAAATCCTCTGCAATTTATTTGTTTTGTATCAACAATAGTTTCAAACTTATTTAAAGTTAACATTGGCCATGACTTCATCAAGCCCATGTCACAGATGCTCATTCCCTAACCAGTCAAAAGGAGTAGTTGTTGCTAACACAAGGACTGGGGTTAGTTAGAGATGTATTTTTTTTTCTTTTAAGACTAAAACTGAAACTCTCTCCTGTCTACTTCCATTTCGCATTCCACCATGGTTGTAAGTTTCCTGAGGCCTCTGTAGAAGCAGAAAACTGCATAGCCCCAAGAACCATGAGCTGGTTAAACCTCTTTTCTTTATAAATTACCCAGTCTCAGGTATGTCTTTATAGCAGTATGAGAAGAAAACTAATACTGTAGACATTTCCTAAAACTCTTAAAATTTAAAGAGCAAGTCAGTATACATGCATGCTGAATCTAGTAGTCATTTTTTTTCATAGCACTTATCATTTGACATACTATATATTTTATTTGTCCATTTTTTGTTCTCTCCACTCAAAGTTAAGTCTTCACTGAGGGAAGGATCTTAATTGACTACTATATCTGCAGAATTTAGAACAATGATGGATATGTGGCAGCCAGTTAATAAATATTTGTTGAATGAATAAATAAACTGATCTTTAAGTTGTCTTCAATTTGTTAAAGATATTTTTGTTCATTTAAGTTCCCGTCTGAATGGAGAAGAAAAGTCACCTGAGCCTGGTTGGTTTTAGTAATGACAAATTTCCTTTTGGGCTTCTACTTTATTTGTTTCTGTTGCTCTGTCAAGAATTAGACTTTAAAAAAAATTGAAAAAAGGCTTTATATCAAAACATACTTTTTAAAAACAATTTCAGACTCCTGACCTCAGGTGATCCGTCAGCCTCAGCCTTCAACCAACATAGTGAAACCCCGTCTCTACTAAAAATACAAAAATTAGCTAGGCATGATGCTGTGTGCCTGTAGTCCCAGCTACTCAGGAGGCTGAGCCAGGAGAATCGCTTAAACTCAGGAGGTAGAGGTTGCAGTGAGCCAAGATTGCGCCACTGCACTCCAGCCTCAGTGGCAGGGCGAGACTCTATCTCAAAAAATAAGTAAATAAAAATAAAAATAAATAAATAAATAATACAAAAATAAAAACGATTTCCACTTTTATTTTAGATTCAGGGGTTACATGTGCAGATTTTTTACATGGTTATATTGCATGATGCTGAGGTTTGAGATATGAATTTCTCACCCAAGTAGTGAGCATAGTACCCAATAGCTAGTTTTTCAACCCATACCTTCCTTCCTCCCTTCCCCCTTCTACAGTGCCTGTTGTTCCAATTTTTATATCTACGTGCACTCAATGTTTAGCTCCCACTTATAAGTAAGAACATACAGTATTTGGTTTTCTGTTCCTGCATTAATTCGATTAGGATTATGACCTCCAGCTGCATGCATGTTGCTGCAAAGGATATGATTTCATTCTTTTTTATGGCTATGTGATATTCCATGGCATATATGTACCACATTTTCTTTATCCAGTCCACTGTTGAAGGGCACCCCAGTTGATTCCATGTCCTTGTTATTGTGAATAGCACTGCGATGAACATATGAGTGCATGTAACTTCCAGAATCTTTAAGGAACTTAAATCGATACGCAAAAAAACAACCCCATTAAAAGGTGGGTAAAGGATGTGAACAGACACTTCTCCAAAGAAGCCATTCAAGCGGCCAAGAAACATATTTAAAAAATGCTCATAATCAGTAATTACTAGACAAATGCAAAGCAAAACCACAATGAGATACCACGAGATTGCACATCAGTCAAAATGGCTATTATTAAAAAGTCAAAAAATAACAGATGCTGGCGGGGCTGCAGAGAAAAGAGAACACTTATACATAGTTGGTAGGAATGTAAATTAGTTCTGCCACTGTGGAAATCAGCTTGGAGATTTCTCAACTAATTTAAAACAGAACTACCACTTAGCCCAGCAATCCCATTACTGAGTATCTATCCAAAGGAAAATAAATCATTCTACCAAAGAGAATGAGCTTTTTAAAGAGTTTCTCATCTCTCAATCTAACTAGAAATCCTGTTAACATCCAGTGAATATAATAACATGTGCCCGGAGCTACACATGTTGGCTGGTTGACTGTGAATTATGGTCATTTTTGCACTGCCTCGTTCACTGCTGGCCTCCAGAAGCCTAAATGTTGATCCATGTACTTTGAGGAATTACAGACTTGAAGATGAAGATTCTGTAGTGTGTGAAGCATAGAAAGAGTGTAGTGCTAATAATTACACTGCTCATTCTAGACTAGTTTCTTGTAGCAAATCAGGATAAGAGTTAGTATTCACCATTTTGTGAATGCTAGTTCCCAAAGGTAAAGATTCAAGTGATTTTAACAGTGGCAAAATTGAAAAAAAGCTCAAGTCCTATTTCTTCGTTTTTATAATGATGTATAATATCATATGCTAATATATAATCTATACAATTTTAATTAATCTATTTCTTCATCCATAATAAGGACTTTTGTATTTATAAGTATAATATCATTGACAGGTATATATAGGGCTAGAAGTGTTGGAAATACAGTTTGTACCCAAAGCAAGCTTGAAAACTTCTGAACCATCACAAACAGATTCTTGAATAGAGTTTGTGTCCTGGGGTCTGTGGAGTCTGGAACTGATTGCCCAACTAGGAGTTCTCTGCATTAATTTCTGTGTAAAATACAAGATTTATGAAAGTATAAGTAATAAAATATGCTAATTTGAAGCTTAAAATATATTATTGAAACTCAGCAGTAACCAAAGCAACTTAGAAATGAAATCAATAAATAATTTTTTCTAAGAGAAGTACTTTATTACCGACATTTAAAATATTTCTGGTGGATAGTGATAAGAAAACAAGATAGACCTTTACTTAGTTTTCTTATTGCTTTTAAAGTTTTTACAGACCATGTGTACTCTTAAGTCTGTACTTGGAGTAGACTGCTCCCACCACTCTGACTTCCTCCGCCACCACTGACTAAGTACTCATCTTATGATTAGCAAAAATGAAGGCATTTTTTAAAAGTGAACAGGGTCAAAATAGCCAACAGGGGAATATTAATGGTGGTCACTGAGCTTAAGAAGTCACTTAAGCTACCTGGAATCACTAAAATTACTGATATGATTCTGATATTTACAAAGAATCCACATCTCTCCTATGGAGAATTGATTGATTGGTCCCAAGTAAAAGAAGCAGAGAGAATGGGATGCTTCTCAACTCTTCATATCATCCCTCTTCTCTTCCAAGAAGTGCTTGCTTTGAGTTTTTATTTATATTTAAAATTTAAAACAATGAAATAATATAAACTGAGAGATGCATGTTTTTGTTCTGAAAATGCAAATTTTGGTTCATACATGAAATACTTTTAATGAATTTGAACAATATTTAAATAGAATTAAAACCTGGTATGTATATATTGCTTCTATCATAGAGCTCTCTTTACTTGCAGGGGGCAAATCTTGATTCTTTTAAGCAAATGAAGGTCATGCCATTTCCTTTTCTAGTGCTTGTTTTAGAAATAAGCACATAATGCAATTCTAGCCAATGTCACTTGAAAGTCTGACGGAGGTACCAGGAAAAATTCCTCTTTTTTTTTTTTTGGTGGGAGATAGGGGAATATACTATCTTCTAGTCCTTTAGTTCCTTTTGGGAATGTCATAATTAGTTTGTGCAGACTTCTTGAGGGTATGGTATATTAGTATGATAGAGCTATTTGGATATCAGCCCAAAGGATTGGTAGTTTAGCAATACAGGGGGAAGAAAAAAGAATCTTTGGTAGCATCCTTGGACCACTGAATCAACCTTCCCTGGGACTTCTCTACCTCTGGGCTTTGGGTTATATTTGGACCATCTGGAGTTAGTTCTTCTGTTTTAGTCTAAAGCATCCTAAATGAGATGTTTCTTATGCTTCTAAATATACTCTTTTTAACCATGTTCCATTTTGTGTGGACATTGTAAGGGTAATATATACAGACTTAAAAAGAATATGCCTATGAATTAGGAAGCTTTAAGCAATGGAAACCATTTTTCATTCACTGCCATTCCACTATGGTAGCAATTCTTCCTATGGTAATTCTGTTTGTTACTTCTCAGTAATAGGAAGAATCATCAGTACAATTGTGTAAGGTACTTTTAATGAATACATATCTATATTCTCAAACCGTATGGCAACTTCTGGAATGCTTTAGATTTCCATCCCACCTTCATAATCTCTTAAAGAGTCTCCTGTGCCTTACTCACTCAACCTTACAGTAGGTATTCATAGTCTGGTAACACTTTTCTTCTAATTGATCCAATGTGGTTTGGTGGTCACAGTTATTTATAATAGTGGTAATCCTCATACTACAAGAGTAGGCAATATTGTATTTAACTACCTCACTATTGAGAAATCCTTAATATAGGGCCATCAACTTTAGTTGTGAAATTCCTGTGTCATGTGATATTACTGGGATCAATTCTCATAGGATGAGATCTAAGAATTAATAAGACTGAAAGGAAACATTTAGAATATGTAAATGACAGGTTTTTTGTCTTTGCAATTGTTAAGAAACTAAAACCAGATTTTATATCTATTTTGAAAGGCTGAAATGAGTTTTATATTATGACGTCTATTAACAATTCAAAGTGTCTATTTTAAAATCTTTAACAATTTCTTAAAAAATATCTTGTACTGAAGGATAAAAATGGCTCTGTTATTCATATATGATTAAGTACTGCATTTCTCACTTCAATAAGTGTAATTCCATATAATTTATTATATAAACCATCAGAATAATAGAATCCAGTTCTATTTGTGACATCTCTGCAGTTATCACAATGTATTTTGAAAACCCAAAGTAACAATGGGCATTTCCATTGAGTGTGTTTCTTTGCCCATAAAGGAAACAACCAAATTTACTTCTGGCAGAAACTCATTTGACACATTCTAACCAGAATATATTAAATCAATTGTTTGCTTCATGTGGGATGTTAAAATGACATCCCATTTTATCCTTCCATTTTCTTAACGTAATAATGAGCACATTCAATTCACAAACATTTCAATTTGGTTATGAGCTCACTTCCTCCATACTACTCCTACCACCTCCACTTCAAGTTTAGCATAATCACTCTCTTGATGATTTATGCAATTTCTAAACATTAGCAAACATAACTAACCAAATATAATGTATTAATAAGTCTTCAATTATTTTTAGAAAGAATTGCAATAGCGTTGGCATTGTCTTACAGAAATACACCTGATTTTAAAAGTAGATTTTTTTTCTGATTTACCAGACAAGAATATCCAAACACCAAACTGTGTAAATATTTCAAAACCATACATACAAAAGTATTACCTAATTTGTAGTGACTTATCAAGGCAGGGAAGTAGGAACTTAATATTCATTAAGTCATTTGACATTCTTAACAATGTGCAGAAGATCATGCTTTGTGCAGAGTTCAAAATAGATAACAAATGCCTTCTTCTGTGGGAAAAACATGAACATCAATGTGTCTAAAGGGCTATTCAGTACATGTTTTGTATGCATCATTATTTGTATGCTTTATAATAATCCTCAGAGTTAGGCCTATTTTATAGATGAGAAGACTGAGCCTCAAATGTAACTTAGCCGAGGACTTATATACCTGCTAAGTTGCAGAACTGGTATGTGCACCCAATTATCTAAGAATCTAAAGCCCACATGCTTTTGTCACACTACACTCTCTTTCTTTTGAAATTTATAATCTGTTATCAAGGAGGGAGAACTTATATAAAGTTCAGAGAAGGTATATACACTTATACACACACATACACACATATATACAAAGTTCAAAGAAGGTGGAGATGAGTACAATATAGACAAATGTAATTGAAGAAGTTTTTGATTCTTATGAGTATTATACATATTTTAGGGGATCTGTGTTCTTTTCAATGTCTATGAATTTGACCATCTTTTCTTCTCACATTCTTCCCCATCCGTTCACCAGTGACTTCACTCTTCTGTGAAAGATGAGATAGAAACAGCTACTTTTCTCTAACAGCATAATTTATCTAATTGGTGTGATAGCAAAAGAATGAAAACTATTGGCTTGCAATAGGCAGATTAAGATGTGAAACGCTTGTGTCACTGGTTGCCCAATGACTTTGCCCTTCACTGGGTGAAAAGTGAGGAGTAAGAGGAGGAAGAATGAGAGGCACATTTTTCTTCTTGGGTCCAAGGAAATGCTCTAATCCAGTTTTAATGAAATTTCTGTCTTATCACTCTCTGACTTTTGAGTTCATTTATCAATTTGTTAATAACACAGAAAGAAGAAATATGTGATTCTTTTGTAACAGGGTAGTCCAACAATGAACAGCTTTGGGAAGGATCTGGCTTCCCTGGGGAAAGTGTTGCTTCCTTAAAGAATGCTCCCTGTCTAGTAAATAATTGTAACTTGGCAGTCACTCTCAAACTATCAATTTAACAAGTAAACTCACATTTTCCTACTCTATGCTGGTGGATATGAATAATCAGGAAGGAGACATAGATGCTGGACTTTTCCCCTAGATGCTGGACTTTTCCCCTAGGAGAGAAAGATTCATTTATGACCTGCTTTTTTTTTTGGAAAAGCAGAAGAAACCCAAATTATAATCCATAAGGTATTCACCTGAGCACATGCTGACTTCATGTAAGTATTTTTGTGCTTATTTCAGTTTACAACAGTCAGTGCAATCTCACACGGCATATATTTCTATATTCTTTATTTGTGGCTATTTGAATTATTCATATGTTTAATTTTTAGTCTCTTTATCCTTGATTCTTCAAGATTCTGGAAATGATAATTTGTTCTTTTCTCACCTGGTTTATGATGATTTCAAATGCCCTACTTGGTCTCATTGAATTTAGCTATAAATTTCAAAATTGAATTGCAGAAAACAATGTATACTATTTGAAATCAATCTTGGATAAGTCATAATTACCCAAATATTTATTAATTTGATGAATTTCTATATGCCTTTTTTGGTCTTCACAGAGAGAGTATCAATTGCTAAGTGTTTTTAGTCAGTGGCTCTTTGTAAATGAAATACCTAAATTCACAATACTTCATACAAAATGTGTTACATTAGAGTATTTGCATTAAAGATGTTTTACTCTGCAATAAAATTTTGTACAATCTAACATTCATGAAAGAGGGAAATAAGTGGATTTTGCAAAGAATATTCACCAAGACCTTTGTTTAATAGAGGGGAGAAAAAGAAATAATTAAATACTAGCAGAAAACAGGGTTGCCTCTTTGGGAAATGTACTCATTCAGGTAGCCCCTGGAACATTGGGTAAGTATCTCCTCTTGTCTGGGTAGGTGACAGTGTGTGGAGAAGCTAATGAATGCAGGGCCAAATTGCACCTCTTTGTTTGGTGGATTTTTCTCCATCTCCATTAGCTCTCGAGAAGAAAACACTTATTTGACCTTTTAAGTAGCTAGACTTCAAAATAATTTTAGAATTTGCATATTTTACGCATTTTTTTCTGAACCCTGAGCACATATAATGCAAATATATAGTCATAATTCTTACTCTGTTGCCTTGTTCTAAATAATGAAAGTATTAGAGTCAACTCTTTGAGACAAGGCCCATCTTACATTGACATCCCAAAAATGGGAATAGTGCTCCATAGTAAACAGTTTAAAAATATTATTTGGATTATAAAATGAATTAATTATATAAAGAGAAAATGTGTTCACAAATGTAATTGGGAATAAATGTGTTAAATATTACATAGAATCTGGTTTTAATCCAAAAACGACTCAAACTTATTAATTCGATTTGTATTTTAATTCAACCATTTAGTTTTTTTCTTTAAATATTTCAGAGTGTTAGTAATATACTAGCTGGAAGATGTAGCTAGATGGTAAATTGTCAGAATGAACATAGAAATCTTGGAAAAGACAGACACAGATGAAACAAATATATCTTGCCTGGTCCCTGAATAGGGGGACATGCTATTATCGAAAGTTTTAAGTAGCTGTGAATTACTTATAATAGCAAGTACTGAAGATTGTAATTTATGTTATTATGTTATTAAGCAAATTGCCTGACAGAAAATATTGCAGTATATTAAAACAACTTCTACTGCATCTAACATAAATTCAATAGATTAAAATATATACTGTATATACTGTAAATAATACTTAAGCAGAAATACCTATAGAATACAATATATAAATAGGCACCTTTGTTTCCCTTCACACTTCATTTAAAAGCCCAGACCCCCTTTTAACAATATATCTTGCTAAAAGCAATGTGCCCTTTTTGGTGAAACAGGTACCATATAATGAAGCTCAAATCTAATAGTCATAAATTGACTTACTGTTGTTAATGCATTAGCAAGTAATAAATCCAAGTCCATGCCATCAATACAGGAATTCTGTTCCTGCCTTAAAATTTGAGGACAATTTAAGTCTACAGAGTTTTTCTTGGAATAACAGTTAATGCTGAAATGAAAGTGGCATGCAAATCTCCCAATTCAGGAAGAAAAATAATCACAATATGCTTCTGCTGAATCTAAACAGCCCTACTTCCTTTCACAGTACCTTGTGAGCAGTCCTCTTAGGTGTCAGTAGTAGGCCTAGTAAACATTTTTTGTCCAAGGCTGTCCCTATGTGGCCCCACTTATGCTCACATTATGACTTCAGGATAATAATTAATAAAGCCCACTTTCACTCTCCAAAGTGTCTCGGTCTACATAATAAATTACATAGTTATTATATTATAGGTTAATGTAATACATATGAAATTGTATTAATGATATGGATTCATTACTAATGAGATTTAACTAAGAAAGTTTAAATTATATGGTAACTTTCCATGAAGTAATCTGAATTTTAAAGGTGCAGATAAATGCTTTATTAAATGAAATGCTTTTTGATATTGTACAGCTTTTTCCAGAAACTGCAAGCTTAAAAAAAAAAAAGCCATTGGATATGAAAAAAGAAGCATTCTTGAGAAAATTCCCTAAGGAGAATTTATTTTTTCTTAAAAAGGGGCTTTATTTGAGGTGTCAAGCTAAGATTGTGCTCCTTCCCACCTGGAGAATAACATTCGACATCAAATATTTGGCCAGAATTTTGCTATAGACATTAGCAAGTCATTCCTTTCATCTGTGATTGTATACGAAGTGTTAGCTCTAGAGTGTGAGCTGCCATCCATCAGAGACAACGTTTGCTTCTCCTGTGTAACAATGTCACAACACTGTAAGTTCAATAACATTGCCTAAGTAGTCAGGCAATGAAACCAATATGCATGAAATGCTATCATTGTCGTTGGCTTAAAGGCAAAATATGTTGAACCAAGGCTATTTTCTTATTCAATTAACATTTACAGAAAACCTATTATGTGCCACGCATCTTGACACAAATTTTTTATTTGTTCCTAATAACAACCTGTGAGGTATGTGTTACTTTCCAGATGGGGAAATAGAAAGCCAGAGAGATTAAGTGACTTTTTTAAAGTTACTTAGCTGGTAATTGATGGAAGGTTGATTCAAATCAAGGCTGATTGATTCAACATGTGAGCTCTTTCCGCCCCATTTCTGCTTACATCTCTGGCTCCAGACTTTGATGTTTGGCCAAGAAGAGACTTTTCAGAGTGGTAGAAAGCCATTTCCTACTAATCTAAAATAAGGATTCCTGCATGGAGATAAAATTGAATATTATTTTTTCCTATTATTTTTGATAGCCATTTCCTACTATTCTAAAATAAGAATCCCTGCATGGAGATAAAATTGAATATTTTTTTCCTATTATTTTTGAAACATCTTCAACACTTTCCTTAGGGAAAAAAAGTGGGTAGACAGCATCACTCGTATCTTTTTTTTTTTTTCTTCTATCATCTGCCCTTCACAATTCAATGGAGGAAACTGTACATTTCAGTGGGAAGATTCTATTATTCTACTACTGCAAGACAGCCTTATCTTCTGCATATCATTTATTTTTGAAGCTGTAAACTGGCTGAATTCTTTAGTCTTTCCAACTTTAAAACTAGAAATTTTGCTCCGAAATGAAAGAGTATCAGGAATACAAAGGAGAACAGGAAAATCTGAGACTTTTTTCATTTAAGATCAATGAATTATTTGGTTATACAGATATTTGAAGTATAGTTAACAGATATCAAAAAGAAGTCCTGGGTTGCATTCAGTCATGGCTGCCACAGATGTCAAAACTTCACATGTGGGATGAAAGATTGTCCACAGTATGGAACAAGAGAGTTTGCAGTTTTTAAGGATTCTGCAGTCTTACTACTAAGCAAAAGCCTGGCATTTTAGATCTCCTATAGCTGTTGAGCAGAATTGAACAGTCATTCTTGAATCATATTTACTACATTGCTAGCTGATGACTAAAGTAAAGGCTCAAAACTTCAGCTGTATCTAGGAAGGTTTTGGGATCCTCAGTTCCCCGAACTTTTTGAACTACAAAGTGTATATTATTCCCATCCACCAGAATTTAGCTCTGGGGAGACAAACTCTGGAGAAGGAGTTTTCATGAAATAGATTTTCCATGTGAATTACTTGAACTGCTGTATAAAGAACTCAGAAAAAAAAATGTGTATGCATACAAACCATACATTTTAAAAACCTAGTGACTACTGATCATGGGGCGAGAACACAGAAAGACAGATAAGAGAGGTCTATAGGCTTCCCATGTATACCTCAACACCTGGCCTCTGGGCCCTGTGATGAGAAGGCTGAAACACAAAGGAATCTGAACAGGGACACTGCATACAAATACTGAATTATATGCTACATAAAGGTTTTAAAATGCACCAGGCCTGGGAAGAACCCCAACTAGAATACAAACTGTAGCAAATGTATCTAACTGTATTAAAAATGAGTAACAGAACACTACAGGAGGTGTAAAAGAAGAACTAACTTATTTTGGAAAACAATATTTTGATTGAATAGTATGAGGCTAAAGACAAAAAGAACTGCACACAAATAATATACTTTCCTTAGTAAATTTGTTCCCAAATGGGTACAGATTCATATTTCAGAAGCTATTTTCTTTGTATGCTAGGGTTGAAAAAAATACATGCATATATTGAAGAAAATGAGAGTCAGTTTTCTCTTTGTCTATAATAGAAAAGTTATATATAAGAAAAGGGATAGCTAGAATAAACCCTGTAGTATTGGATTGGAATTGTAGATATCAATATGAATTCATCATTTTTAAAGATAAATACTGACATAAACTTAGACATATGTGTATGCAATAACCAGTATAATATATGTATTCTGAAACCATGTTCACTGACAGGTACTAAAAGTAGTGACACTCTGTTAGTAGTAAGCACACCTGTCACCCAGATTTTTGTTTCTAATACCTTTATCTAATAAAAGGAACCAGAACTCCTTGGAGATATAGTTGATTCCAAGGCTGGCACAGAAAATATACAAGATAAGACTTTAGCCCCATGCAGCAGCAGGAAGTACGACAGTGCTCAAAAAAGAATAGGGCATGTTGAAAGGGCACAGGAGCCAAATGGAAAAGATCCCAATGCCCAAAGCTAGAAAAATTTACAAAAAGAAAAAATGTAATTGGATTATAATCCATAGAATAAAGTAAATATCTGTGGTGCCATAGTGATAAAGATAAGTATTTGAGTAGATACATAAATGTAGGAGAAGAGGCAGCTCTTCTTTAGAAAAAGATTCCAATTAATAAGTAAAGAAGGAATGAGGGAAATGGAAAATCACCATTAGAACACCACTAATGAATGCTGAAATTGTTGGGTAAAAGTTTGAGGAGAAATAATATTTGCATTTGAAAGTAACTCTTACAAAATATTTATTAATTAAAAAAGAAATATAGTAACTTTAGAGTAGAGAAAACTGGGAGACACCACTTTTAGAAAGTGATCCAGGTCAACATAACCAATAATTAGATACATTGACATCATACATGATATACATATATTGACATGATACACTGAGAGGGGCATATCACTTCTGTAGTATTCTTGCCAAAAATGCATAATCTCAATCTAATCATGAGAAACATCAAATAGAACCAAATTGATGGAAATTCTACAAAATAGCTGACCAGGACTCTTCAGAAGTGTCTGTTGTATCTGATGTAACAGATCAGAGGAAACCATAAAGACATCACAACTAAATGAGATGTGAGATCCTGACTAGGACTCTGGAACATAAACATAACATTAAAAGAAAAATTGGTGAAATTTGAAAAATGTCTGTAATTTAATTAATAGTATTGTACCAATGTTAACTTCTTGGTTTTGACCATTAAAGCAACTGTATTTTTCTATTTTTATAACTTTTCTGTAAGTAATGTTCTTACAAAACAAGAAGTTTTTAAAAATTGAAATAAAATGTACTAGAATATTGAGAATAGCTATCTTTGGAAAGTGAAAGTGCAGACGATTTTTATTTTTTCCTTAATTTTGTTTTCCAAAATCTCTACAATGAGCATGTGATATTTAGAAAATGCATTACTATTTTTATTTTTGGCCAGGAAATCCCTTATGTATGGCTTTAGTTGTAAAAAAATTAACAAATCGTGTTTTAATTTTAAAAGATAATGCAAAAATGTTTATATGACGTATTAGAAAGTGTCTGTAAGCTTTAATAGCAAAGGACATTCCACACCAGTTAATGCTGTTTTTTGCATAGATACTTAAATTGTCATTAAGTCATCCTTTATGTTTTAATTACAAGCATACTGCTTACCATTTTTGAAAGCCGAGATGATCCAGATATAATGGGTATAGGTGGAAAATGCTACTTTCTCTTGAGTAATTGAAGAATGTCATGATGTTCTCTTTTAATATCATGCTCAATCACACCTGCCAGATAACGATTTTTAATTTTCAAAATATTATGAGACTATCAAATGTACTTGTTAAAAACTTACTTCTTTCTTGGAAGATTTGGAAGGCTTCAGAGTCATTATTTTGACATGTCATGATATAATTCTGCAGCTGTGATAGATGGCACTGAAAGTAAGCCTCCTTCTTTTTAAGCTTCTGGACAAATGCTGAGGAACAGTCAAAATTAGCAGAAGTAGGCTTTCACTGCTACTGGTGAAATCCCTGGAACCTGAAGGATCCACTGTAAAAACAGATGGAGATCTTAGTTTCTAAATAATTTGAAAAAACAAAACAAAACAACATTTAAAGTAGAAGTAAATGTACTCTCAGAAGAGTTACAGAAAAACTGAGCAGGTATTCAGAGAATTAATGGAAGGCTTATGTGATAGAAAGCTTTCTAAGTCATTATTTTATCCTGCTTCCCTCCAACCCCTTCACATCCAGAACTACTTTTCACAGGATACATTTTAAAGATATCTACTTATTGTGTGTGTGTGTGTGTGTGTGTGTGTAAACATACATTCAGCATCTGCAAAGCACAATAAAGCAAAACACAATAAAATGAAGTACATGTACTCACTTAAAATGGCACAATGACCTTTTAACATAAGAATGTTTGGTATTGTCATTTTTATTTAAACTAGTCAAGCTTGAACGCCGGCAGGATCTCTGAACAATAGTTCTCAGGTAAATAAAAAATGTAATTTTATTGTTCTTTAAAAATAGCAATGAACATAGCATTACAGTGCTGCTTTTTTGCCTCATATTTCATCTCACCTTGACCACATGTGGTTAATAAAAGAGTACTTATTATTATTTTTTAAATTTTATTTCAATCGTTTTCGGAGAATAGATGGTGTTTGGATATACGCATAAGTCTTTTAGTGGTGATTTCTGAGATTTTGGTGCACCCATTACCTGAGCAGCATACACTGTACCCAATGTGTAGTCTTTTATCCCTTACTACCCTCCCACACTTTCCCATGAGTCTCCAAAGTCCGTTATATCATTCTTATGCCTTTGCGTCCTTCTGGCTTAGTTCTCACTTATAAGTGAGAAGAGAAGATATTTGGTTTAACATTTGTGACTTACTTCACTTACAATAACAGTCTCTGACTCCATCCAGGTTCCTGCGAATGCCCTTATTTTGTTCCCTTTTATGGCTGAGATATATCTATATCTATCTATATCTATATCTCAATCACATTTTCTTTGGATACTCCAACCTGAGCTCTTGTATCTTCCTTGTTAGTCAGTCATAATCTGGATGAAGTTTCGTCTACTGTGCACAGATCTTTCAGCATCAAAGATGTTGGAGGGGCTGGGTACGGTGGCTCATGCTTGTAATCTCAGCACTTTGGGAAGTCGAGGCAGGCAGATTACTTGAGGCCAGGAGTTTGAGATCAGCCTGGCCATCGTGGTGAAACCCTGTCTCTACTATACATATGCAGAATTAGCAGGGCATGGGGCAGGCACCTCTAGTTTTTTGCCTGCCAGTCTAAGTCACTATTTAGCCTTCATTGGCTTTGTTACAGAATGCATTCTAATTAGATAAACCCCAAACAGATGGTACAGATTACGGGTAGTAGCTCTGTATAAGTGAAACTAATTTGAGAAAAAATAAAAAATTGGTTTATAAATGAATCCTCATATTTTAAATTATTTACTTAATAGGATTTAAGGATTAGAATAAAAACCCTGTACTTTGACCATTTACTCACTTCTATCTGGCACAAGATTCAGACCTCAGCTCTCCGTTTCTCTCTCTCTAGCTCTTATTCTTGGCCACGGGACCAACCCTCACAGGGGCACTCTATGCAGAAGCTTCCTTCCTAAATTGGAACTCCCACTTTGACCACTCTCCTTTGTAAACAGAAATAAAACTGAATTCTGCATGTTGTCCCAGAGGCCAGATGCTTGTGTCAATCTTCCATTCTTCCAGCTTGAAAACATATCTGACACTTTCTTTAATGACCACCCCATCATATTTATTGACCAGAACCTGTGGAGTCTTTCTTTGTGACGGTTTCATTGAATCCTTTACCTGATTATATGCCACTTGCCCACTTAGGAACCTTCAATTCCCCTACGTGTACAGGCTCAAATTCAAGCTCCTTACTAGCATCTGAGGCCATAATCTAATGTTTCTTTTACTTAAACTCTCTGTCCTAGACTGGTTGTTATTGTCTCAAAATGTGGCATCTGCAACTTTGTTTCTTTTTTTTTTTTCCAGACAGGGTGTCACTCTGTTGCCCAGGTTGGAGTGCAGTGGCATGATTGGCTTACCACAGCCTCCACCTCTGAGGCTAAATGATCCTCCCATCTCTCAGCCTCCCCATAGCTGGGACTAAAGGCATGTACCATGATGCCCGGTTAATTTTGTATTTTTTTGTCGAGAGGGGTTTTGCTATGTGGCCCAGTCTGGTCTGGAGCTCCTGGGCTCAAGCAATCTGCCCACCTTGGCCTCCCAAAGTGCTGGCATTATAGGAGTGAGCCACTGTGCCTGGCCTGCAATCTCATTTTTAAGTCTTTGCTCAGATCAGCACTTCCACTTGGAAAGATCTCTCTGGTTCTCTTCATCTATCTCCTTCCTGCATTTCCTATACAATATTGCCCACGTTTCATTTCCCCCTTGATGCATTTCTCATTACATTATCATACATTGTTAGAGTTTCTGAACTCTGTAAGAATTTGCCTTTACTAGTCTGTTGGCTTGTTTGACTATTTTCATATGCTTCCTTTTTCTATTTAATATCTTGTTTAAATTTTCAGTTTATAGATTACTTAAAGTAAAAAACTATGTGCCCATTTCCCAAGTTTTAGTAATTTAAAAATTACTGTAATATGCAAACTTACATCATGAAAATTAGGATATCAGTCAGAGTTTGATGTTAGAAAAAATGGCTTTGACAAACTTTTACAGAAAATGAATCTGTTTGAAGGGAGTCCACACATTCATTCTGGAAGCTTGGAGATCAAGAATAAAAAATAGATAAGGACAAATGAAGGTTGGCCAGAGAATAAGAAGTATAGCTGGTCATGGTTCAAGAGCACCCAATCACTGGAGCTGCCACTAGTGGACACTTAAGCTACTGTCTTCTCGTGTCTACCAGACTGTTCAGCACTAAATGCTCAAGGCCTCTGCCACTGGATGCCACACCTATCCCTGCAAAATAATTGATGCTGCTGCTTCTGCCACTGATAGTTTTTCAGATTCCTGAATCTTTGGAAGTCCAGTTGGTGGTATCCAATTGGTCAAGTCTGCATTCTGAGCCTACATCTGGCTTTCAGGAAGACAGGAAGGGAGTATCTTCAATCCCTTTGGCTTCTGGAGTGGGAAGGGATACACACACAACTAGGGAATGTCTCATAATAGGAAGGATTGTCTGGATGCTGGGTACATAAAAATAACCAATGTCTAACACACAGGCCTAGCTGTGCCACTGTTCAGTGCAATGGCAGGGATTTACCACCAACTTAAAATGTTTTATACATACTTTTGTATAAAAGTATATTTTTATTTCCTGAAAGCAGTGACATTTTCCCATAAGTGTCATATCATAAATTAGTGAACTTTAACATTCTATCCTAATTTGCATAACCTTGTCTGCCTTTAAACATGACTGCAAGATGGGAATGGTAGTGTCAGCAAGAACCTTCCTTCTCCCCATGACACATCAGCAACCACATATGAACCAATTCTTTTTGTGAGAACTTCAGAAACTAACTGAGGGACTCCTGCACTCCAGCAAGCATGAGACCGGCACATTGAAGCCAGTAAGAAAATTCGACTCTCTTTCTCACCATAATCCCCACCCCCAGCATACTGCCATATGATTGGGAGGAAGTTTCCATCTCCCAGCTTCTCCCTGGGGAGTTAAGGAAAGGACTGGATCATATATCCAATGTTCTAATTCTTCTGAGGGTTGCTCAGGGAACTGGCTTCTGTCTCACTGGCCTTAGGTTCTGACTAGACTCAATGTACTCTAGATGCTGGGAGCCACTGAGAAAGAACAAAAACAGTGATTTAGTGCAGCCCACATGCACTTGCCATCGCCCCTCCACCTGGCTTGGTGCAGAGCAAGTGGTCAAAAAAACCCAGATTCCAGCTTCTCCCTGGGGAGGGAAAGAGTTGGGCCATGTGAGCAACATTCCAAATTTTCCTACCTACAAGAAATAGATAAATTCCTAGAAACCTACAGTCTACCAATACTGAATCATGAAGAAATGGAAAACCTGAACAGATCTATAACTTGTAAAGAGATTGAATCAAGAATCAGAAATCTCCCAACAAAGAAAAGCCCAGGACCAGATGGCTTCACTGGTGAACTCTACCAACATTTAAAGAATTAATGTCAATCCTTCTCAAACTCCCTCAGAAAACTGAATAGGAGGAAGGCTTCCAAATCCATTTTGCAGGACCAGCATTATCCTGACACCAAAGCCCAAGACACTATTTTTTAACAACAACAACAACAAACAACTATAGGCCAATAATCCTGAAGATCATAGATGCAAAATTTCTCACCAAAAACCTAGCAAATTAAATTTAACAGCATATTAAAAGAACCATACACCAGGATCAAGTGAAATTTATCCTTGGGATTCAAGGGTGGTTCAACATACAAAAATCAATTAACCTGATACACAGTATTACCAAGATGAAGGATAAAAATCACATGAGAAAAGCATTTGATAAAATTTAACACACTTCCATAATAACTCTCAAAGAACTAGCAGTAGAAATAAATTGCTTCAACATAATAAAGGCCATACATGGAAAGCCCACAGCCAGCATTATATTCAATGGGAAAAGTTGAAATATTTTCCTTTAGGACCCAGAACAAGGCCAGGATACCCACCATCGCCACTTCTATTCAACATAGTACTGGAAGTCCTAGCGAGAGCAATCAGGCAAGGAAAAATTTTTAAACGCATCCATATCAGAAAGGAAGAAGTAAAACTGTCTGTGTTTGCTGATGATGTGATCTTATATATGTTGGAGTTCTCATTTTACCATTTTTTTTTCTTTGAAGTGAAAGGCAAAGAAGTTTTTATTGCAAAGCGAAAGTACACAAGAGTTCAAGTGTAATTGGGAAAGTCGCCATTTACGTATCTTAGTATCACTTTTAGTTTTCTGTTTTTTGTCTCTGGGCTTTATTTTAGACAGTTTCTTCAATTCTGCCATCTGGAGATTTCCCCTTGTTTCATTTATTCCTATATGAATTTTTTGTTAATATTTGTAGTATTTTATCTGTCATTTCTATGTGTTTGCTGTTGGGGGTGTTTCTACACAAATTCAGCCTACCTTTGTAAATTTCTCCTAACTGCTTTTCACAGTGACCAACTCTTCCTGGTCTGCCCAGGATTTTCCCAGTTTCAGCACTGGAAGTCTCATGCCCTGGGAAATCCCTCAGTCCTCTACAGACTGGGATGATTTGTCATTGAATTGCTTTTTATCATTCCACATTGTGAGAGAAGCAAAAGGTCATTAATTGTTTACATTACTTCAGTAGTGGGTTGTCTATGAATTCTTATAAATAGCAAAAAGCTATCATGTTCTCCCAAGTAAAATCTTTTCCAAGTACTGTTTTGGCCCACACTTCCTGAAAAACAAAGCCTGATTCAAAAGCTTATTGGGAAGTAAATTTGGGGAAAACAGCAGCAAGGCAGAGAAGAAAGGGGACCAAAATGCAAAGAGAGCATACTACTTAAGCTGTCCACAGCCTCAAAGGAAAAACAGTAGGTTGCTGATTCTCATATAAATTCTCCAGAAGGGCAATTCCTGGAATTCAAGTAATGTATCAGCTGGCTGCTGCTGTCTCTTTGTCTTTCATTGGTTGAAGTCCTCCTAGGAGTCATTAAATCCATTGTACTTCCAGGTAGCATTCCCGGGCAGCCACTGGAGAAGTAACACCTTCTCTTGGTCCAATCTGGTGATGGAGCAGACATTGCAGTCAGTAGTGCCAATGGGAACTGGTCCAAGGGTGTGCATGGCAGTGGCAGAAGTCACGGCATTAAACTATAAGACCAGTGGGCAGTGCCAGGATCCTTCCAGCTGGGAAGCAAAGAAAGCGGAGGATTGTGGGGAGAGTGGATAGGCGAAGCTGAGTAGCTCTGGTATGACACAGAGTCTGGATCTGATACAGATATTAAATAAAAGCTACTCCCTCATCCCACCACACACCTATTTGCACCTGCTTTATTGCTTAATTGTAGTGATGAATGTAAACATCTTTAGCTATGTCATAATCTGCTAAAGGCAGGATTTTATATGTATTTTTCTATGATATCTAGTAGACTATTGGCAGAAGCTTAATAAATATTTTATGAAATCATGGCACACTGCTTGAAATATAGATATATAGATCAGTCTATAATTATGAAGCTCATTGTACTATGTGACTTTCTAGCAAATAGAAACATAGTATAAGATGATAGTTCCAATGGTCTTGGAAGCCAGGAATTCTCTCACTCTGCCATCCCATTATAATTGACAACTCTCAGTCATAAACAAATTTACCTATCTGGGTGTCTAGAACTCTGTAATTTGGTGATTCTGGTTCAGCTGCCCCTTACTTTATGAACTTATTTGCTCATTCAGTCCATTGAGTTTCTACTATGTGCCAGATACTATGTTGGGCTTGGATAATAAAGATTAAATGTGTATACATCCTGTCCTTGCCCTCAAGAGACTGAAGGTATGGTTGGGAATTTATTCTCCACCTGGAATTCTCCGTGTCTTTGTGCCCATCAAATGTCCTTCTTCTTGTAAGGACATTAGTCCTTGGATTAGAGCTCACCCTAATCCAGTGTGGCTTCATCTTAACTAGATTATATCTCCAAAGACACTATTTCCAAATAAGGTCACATTTTGAGGTTCTGGGTACACAAGAAATAATAATAATTCTGAACAAATAATACAGAATTTTGTCCCTTATCTCCAAGAAAGGGGATAGTTTTGCTTGTTTGTTCAAATTGTGCTTAATACTATCAACACCTCTACATATTTCAGTAAGAATAGTTATTTTTATTCTGCTTGAGAAAAGAGTATGTACATTTCTCATAATACGAAGGTTCTGATGTTCTTTAGCACTGACGTAATTGACCCTACACTAGGGAAAGAACAGGGCAGATAAGGCATTCTTCAGACAATTCCCTCTTCTAGATCCAAAGTTGATCCTGATGCCAAAAAATCAGTACCAGAAGACCAGAGGTGGCCCAGGCCAGGAAATAAGAGAGTCTGGGAGATTCCCATTTTAGCATTCACTCAATGATTAAGGCATGACCCATGGCTTGTTGATTATTTTTGACCTGTCATTGTCTATTTTCCTATCACTGATAGAAAAAGGTATTTGGTGTCACATTATTCTTCCCAATTCTAGTTGGAACACATCCTCCCTTTCACTTCTTCATGGAGTACGTCTCTATTAATTATTTCTTCATGCCATGACAAGATCAACTCTTGTCTTTAAAATATTATTGCATTGGTGGTTCACCTCAATATATTGAATTCCCTAAAAAGACATGAACTGGTCTCTGATTCATGGGGGAAAATCTCCAAAAGTTGCAATATTTTAGGGGATTAAAATTTATAATAATTCCTCTGTGTTTAAGGACACATAACATGTTTTCTGCATCAATGGTTAAGTTTGATATACATTCATGGACCTAAAAAAATTTTAGGACCAAATTAAGATGAGCCATGACTCTGTACAAAATTGTAGTGGGAAAAAAATGCTTACAGAATTACACTATATCAATTGGAAAGGGTTAGTGTCTTATTAGTGGCTCCTCATTTCAGAATATTTTCCTTGATTTCAGCCTCATTCAGGTTGCTGCTTCTACTAATCTGGGTGCATTATTTACCCAATTCAATTCTTCAGTCATGCATTGCAAAAAAGAAAAAAAAAGGAAAAGAAATAAAGTCTTTTGAGCAAATATTCCCTAGAATATCCACAGAGCTTGACTGCATTGGCAATAGCTGGCACTTAGGAGAATGTGGTAGCCAGAGCCCTGTATTTTGCTGTCTAGAATCTCACTCTTGTGCATCTGGATTTTCATCCCAGGCACTCCTAGGCAACCCATGATGCTGCAATGACTGATGTCTTAGTTTCCTAGGGACTCTAACAAATTGGTAGCTGAAAACAACAGAAATTGATTATCCCACAATTCAGGAGGCTAGAACTTCAAAATCAAGATGTTGGCAAGGCCATGCTCTTTCTGAGAGCTCATGGGTAGGATCCTTTCTTGCCTTCTCCTAGCTTCAGGTGGTTGCTGGCAATCCTTGGTGTTGCTTTGCTTGTAGGCATATTGCTCAATCTCTGCCTCTGTCTCCACAGGGCATTTTCTGTGTCTCTGTGCCCATCAAATGTCCTTCCTCTTGTAAGGACATTAGTCATTGTATTAGGGCTCACCCTAACCCAGTGTGGCTTGATCTTACCTAGATTATATCTGCAATGATGCTATTTCCAAATAAGGTCATATTTTGAGGTTCTGGGTGTACATGAATCTTTAGGAACTATTATTCAACTCAGTACATTTGAGAAGAGTTGGTGGACAACTACGTCAAACCTTTTAGTACTGTTACAATGTCATTCTGCCAAATAGGTGAACATTAATTGTAAGTTATTTGAGATGAAATTCCTTCTACTGAAGAAGGCCACTTTCTTTCCTGGAAATTGGATGAACCAGAAACAAAGATAAATGTCGTGGGTTAAAAAAAAAAATGTTGTAATTAGGTGGCAAAACAGCACTGATTAGCTTATCATTCTTTCCTTTTGTGCTTCAGTATGCCTACTTGTATAATGAACTACAGAATAGCCTCCAGATTGTGTTTGCAAATGCTTGATGGAAATTTAAATCAGAGCACTATAAAGCATTGCGTGATTTAAAAAAAAGTCTTCAAAGAAAATTCAGATATAAATATGGCTAAATGAATAAATATTTCTCCCTAGAAAACTTAGTCATGTATTAGTACTATAATCCTCACAGGACAAAAGAAAATGTCAGATATCATGGAGTTACACAGATTTCTTTATGTCTAGTACAGTCTCTAGCCAAATTCAACTGCTGATTTACAAATCAAATTCAGAAGCTAGGAGATTAAAATAGTTTGCTTTTTCAGAAGCTATAAAGAATATATATTCTCACTCTATATTTTGAAAATTCAGAATTTTTAATCAGGCTCAATTCCTAGCAAAACAGTCTTACTATCCCATTCTCTCACCTCTATATCTCTGCCCTCCCCCACACTGTCTCTGCTACCTTCCCTAACCATGCTCCCAACTCCAGAAAGTTAGAAATATGGCTACTGTTGCTGGTCCTCTTTCAACTTCATAATCTACCTTGAGTCTGGGAAGACTTTCTATAAAGTTTCATGCTGAGCTACAAAAACAATGCTGTGTGTGATTAAGAATGCAGGCTTTGGAGACAGACTGCCTGAATTCCAAACTTTATGTGACTTTCGGTTGTTTAATGGCTCTGGGCCAGAATTTTATGTGTAACATAAGGCTATTACTAATACTCACCTTAAGGATATTATGCAGGTTAAATGAGCTAGGTTACATAAAGTGTTCAGAACTGTCTCTCACCCAATAAATGGTTATTATTATTAATCTGTGTGATGCTGGTATATAACAGAATAATTCAAACTAAATAATGCATTCAAACTAAACTATTCAAACTAAATAGTGGAGAGTTCATATTCAAACTAAACTGTATTGTAATGTATTCAAACTATATTGTAATGTATTCAAACTGTATTGTAATGTATTCAAACTAAACTGTGTTCAAACCAAATAATGGAGAGTTTTAAGTACAGAACATCACCTCATATACTTAATATAAATGTGCTTTTAACAGAGCAATGATCCAGCTCTTGTGAATGGTAGGTTGAGCTCAGTGGAATAGGACCCAATGAATATGGACACTCCAACTAAATTTCAGGTTCAGATTGTCCCACAATAAGACACAATCATTCAAACAACACCCTCCAAGCTGATAAGCAATTAAGGGATCAAGGCAGAAACACACAGCCAAGGACCTAGAGCATCTTAGAGTTGGTGGTTGTAAAGTTAGAAACGGACCACAGTGGTCCTCCTGTGATACTGAGATTTAAATGTTTTTATCTTTTTTCCTGCTCCCCTCACCCCATTCTTCTTTCCTTACCATTTCTGTTATCGTCTCAGCTAAAGTTAATGGTTAGAAATAATGAGAGTTGATGGTAGCCAGACCAGAAAAACAAATCTGTTCGGTTTTTGTTATTCGACCTATGTGCATCCTCTTGATTCAATTAGTTCTCAAGTATCTCTCAATTATACCTGTGAACATGTGCAGGACAGAAACTTGAATTTATAAAATAATGTTTGAATTAAATGGTATCTCATTTGCAATTCAAAATTCTATAATCCAGGGAATAGACTGGAAAGTTTTAGCTCTGAAAATCCATGGTAGACCTAAAGAGCTGAGTTTCTAAGTTGCTAATATTTATCACTTGCCTTTCACAAATGAGAATGGATTGCCTGTTCTGAAAGTTGGAAACAAAAACTCTTTTCTCTGATTCCCTTATATCAGCATAACAAACATGAAGAAAGGTAATGACTGCATCATCAATGGCAGCAAAATGTGAACTACCCACAGATACTAAGCTAACTAGGTGTGCCTAATTGCCAACAGTAGGGATATGCCCCGCCTGTCACTTGAATACGTTCTTAATTTATGTGCCACTGAAATTCCCTGGTAAGATGTCACCACTTACATTGTGGGCTAAGTGGATTACACATCTTGCTGTAGGGCTTTGAGTGAAATGCAGACTTCTTGGCTAAGGTCAACAATGGAAAACATATATAATGGTGGTCCCATCAGATTAACTGGAGCTGAAAAATTCCTATCCCCTAGTGATGTTGTAGCCATTGTAACATTGCAAAAATTCCTATAATCTAGTGATGTAGCTATTGTAACATCACAGTGCAATGCATTACCTTTTCTATGATTAGATGTGTTCAGATACACAAATACTTCCCACTGTGTTACAATTGCCTACACTATTCCGTATAGTACATGCTATACAGGTTTGTAGCCTGGAAGCAATGGGGTACACCTCATAGCCTAAGTGTACAGTAGAACATACCATGTAGGTTTGTGTACGCACACTCTAGGATGTTCTCATAAGGACAAAATCAATCACCTAACAATGCATTTCTCAGAATGTGTTTCTGAAACAGACATAGAAAAAAAAAAAAGGGTTTTTTTGTTTTTGTTTTTTGTTTTTTTAATCTAGGCTTTCAGGAATGAAATGCCTAACTCACCGGATCGACTTGGGTCAGAGATACTGATAAACCTCTCATGCCTTGAAATTGCAGTGGAAAGCAAGTTCAGCCACTTGCCGCTTGAGAAGCCGAATACACAAGAGGTGAGGTATAGTGGAAGGAAAGCAGCTTTATTAATCAAATGCCGGCAGTTGAGGAAATGGCTAGGTTTATGCCTCTACAAAACCATTTCAAATTTTTGGGCTGACTGTAGGGGTTTAAAAAGAGAAACTTGCAGGAGTTGTGCAAGGTGCAGTTCTGCATGTCTTGTTCCAATGGCTATCTTGAATTATTGTCTACCTGGACAGAATCCAAGCTGGCATCATCTTCACTGTGGCTGGGTCATAGATTATCCCCTCTGAGGTAATTTCTAGGTGGGGGAGAGTTCTACAACTGGGTTTCCGTATCTGGTTTGCTTCTAGAGTAGCCCCGGGAGCTTCTAAACAAGCATATCATTGAATAAGTGTGCATGGTGCTAGGGAGTGTCTGGTGGGAAAGGGAGAGAAACAGAGTTGTAAAGTGCATTTCAAGGCTATATTCTGAGTTTAGAGAAAAAAAGTTTTTAAGTGCATTTTAAAGCTAAGATACTTGATTACAAAATGTGAATTTTGATGGAAGAGGAAGAATATTAAACAGCTTTCCTCAGTTGTTCTTCCACTTGTGCCTAAGTGGCATCCATACTTGACCCTGTAGACATGGCATTCAATTTTAACTCATCTTCCCTCAGCTTTAAAGTAGCGAAAATCATAAGAAGAATTTTAATTTAGCAATAATTTTTGGTCCCCAATTAATCTAATGGCTAAAATATTGTACCTCTAATACTTAAAGAAGCTCAGCTAGTAAGTAAACTTGGTATGTTATTAATCAAGCCATATATTTTTATTAGGGGCCTTTTATGGTCTCAGCACTGGAATTTTAGTGAGAGGTGATTAAAAAGATATGTTCTCTAGCAGAAAAGATGAAAACCAAAGCATCAATTTATTCAGCAAACACTTGTTGGGATCTACTACTGTGCCAAGTGCTTAATGGAAAACACAGGTGTTTAACATAAGGTCCTTTATGTTGATACACACCAAATATGTCTTTCCTAAATGAATTTTATGTTCTTTATTATTAGGAATTCATATCTCTAAAAGAATTGAAACACTGTTTATGTGCATAGGCCATCAAACACCACAGAGATATCTTTTGAAGACGTTAACAGTTTAAAATTCCTCACTGGTGAAGAAAAACATGAGTTTTACATAGCAGATGCTACAGTTTAAGATGGATGTATGTGTATAACCTCTCTAGGGAAGTACTAGAACAAAAATTTAAGTCATGAGTAAATATGCATGCTTATATTAAGAAAACCCATCTTGAGTTTACCTGGCATGGATTAGTACCAGTAGGAATTGTTTAATTAGTAATTAATTAAATTTTCTGAAAACATACATCATTTCATTACTAGAAACAAGAGCAAAACTGCATGTTGAATAAAGCAACACTCGTACACTTAATTAAAAAGCAAATAAGTTAACATATAATATTTTCATACTGCCCATCTGCCCTTAGAAGGTCTACATCCTCCGGAAAAAGCTGAATATAATTTAGGTAAAAGACTATATTAATACAAAAAGGACTGAAGTTTAACTTTCTCCTGTCTCTCCTTCCTTCCTTTTCATTTTTGCCAACACACATTTCACTTATATTAAAACTTATTCCACCACAACTTCCTTGTGATTAATTCTAAGACACACAGTGGTAGAAAAAAGTTAAGCAAATATATATATAAACATATAAATATATATATATACATATATAAAAGATATATAAATATATAAAA
Source organism: Homo sapiens (assembly GCF_000001405.40). Taxonomy (NCBI): domain Eukaryota; kingdom Metazoa; phylum Chordata; class Mammalia; order Primates; family Hominidae; genus Homo; species Homo sapiens. The sequence goes on from NC_000007.14 coordinate 93,988,994, forward strand.
TATATATATATATACTGTTGTTGTTGTTGTTTGTTTTTTTGAGACGGAGTCACTCTGTCACCCAGGCTGGAGTGCAGTGGTGCGATCTCGGCTCACTGCAACCTCTGCCTCCTGGGTTCAAGCAGTTCTCCTGTCTCAGCCTCCCGAGTAGCTGGGATTACAGATGCCCGCCACCACGCCTGGCTAATTTTTGTATTTTTAGTAGACACGGGGTTTCATCATGTTGGCCAGACTGGTCTTGAACTACTGACCTCAAGTGATCCATCTACCTCGGCCTTCCAAAGTGCTGGGATTACAGGCGTAAGCCACCGTGCCAGGCCGAAGCAAGTATATTAAAATCACTCTTAAATTCAAATATTAGAATGCTGTTATTCTATGAAATAGATTTGTAGTTTCTTTTTTAAAAAAAAATAAATTTAAGTTTTTTAAAGTTTAGAGAGAGGATTCTGTGAAACTGCCCTAGGGTGGTTGCTAGCCATGCCCAAAAGGTAGATTCAGATTACACTGTGTGTAAGTGCAAGTGAACTAAACTTTGCAATTTGTCTTGTCCCATCTGTTACAAACTTCACAGTAGGGAGCCTGGCATTGTCAGTTGCCTTAAGTGACCGGTTGTGAATGCAAACAAAATTTGTGTGTACTTTTCTAGTTTTTTGCTAGAGTCAAAAATACATCACGTTCTTGGTGCTCAGTTTTCACTGAGCCTGTGGAAATAGGGTTTATGGCAATTTTGAAGACAAAAGAGTGTGTAACCAATAGAAAGAATGTTTTCTATATCCCCATTGATCTGGTTTAAAATGCTCTCTGTGTGAATCTAAAACTATTTTAGAAATAGTTTAAAATTAAATTTAAATTATTTAGCCATGAGAAATAAATGCAGACAAAGAGTTTAAGGAAGCTGACTAGCTCATACCATTCAGAAGTTTGTCTTTCAAGCAGTAACCTAGAAGATAATCCATTAATTATGAAAATAATTTTAATCATGTGGTATGGATATCTTTAATAGACATCATCATAACATATTTGGACTCCTTGAAATTGTCTTGTGTGTGAACAAAACAAACTCAATTTGCCTTTTACAGATTTTAAATAATTTTGAAATAAGTTAAATATAAATATATATTAATGTAAAATTAACATATTAAAAGATCTTTGAAGAAACTAAGCATTAAATCTGTGTATAATCAGACTAAAGCATTTTATTCCAGTAACTTTTCTGAAATACAAATTACCTCACATAAAACTCATGTTCTACTTTCCTTAAAAATAAGACACTTTATCTTATGTGCTTTAAAGCAAATGGATTATTAAATAATGTAAAAGCTTAATAAATTACCAGCTGGTCGAACTATTTATTAATTAATGAGATAAACTTGAGGAGAAAGCAATAATTATAAATATTCTTTTAAAATGTAAATTGATGACCTGACAAGGTTTTTCATTATAAATATATTAATATCTGTTGTATATAGACATTTTTATGCTATGTATTTCATTTTCTCCTGCTCATTTCTAAATTAATTACAGGCATTAGAGAAGCTATAAATACTAAAAGTCAGATTCAGCTGTCTGCTTTCAAGTGTATCACACCAAAATCATCGATCTTTGAGAAAACATAGTAGGACAATTCTTTACATAATTGTATAATTATAACCCATGTTGAAATTAGCAAAGTCAAAAGAAAACATTAAACAGTTTTTCTTTTCTAAATGTCATAAAGACTTTGTAGAATACTTATATTTATAATGGGTAATGTGGTTACATTTTGCATTACACTTCAGCTACTAATGTTATAAATGATTAAGCTTGAATGAATTTTGGAGTCTCACATCTAGTATATGCTTGTTTTTTTTTTCGGTCAGAAACATTTTATGCTTATTTCTTTCTCTTCATTTTGAAGATTAAGGAAAGATTACTTTAAGACTTGAACTTGGCACTTTGCATATCTCTTTGGTTCATGCAATAGTCTTTCCAAGGCTTGTGAAAAATTCTTCTAAAAGGACAAGGTGAATTACTTGGCTAAGATACAGATGCCAATATATATACAAAGAGAACAAAGCTCTATGAAATGTACAGAAGGATCCTGCTCTCCTGCTTGAACATTTAACTGAAAGGAAAAGAACGGAGGAAGCCAGAGTAACAATAACCACATGCCTTTTCCATAAATGATTCTTGCACAGGATTTCAAATACCAGAAGATGGAAGGTTAATAAATGTAGGAAGATTTTATCCATACAAGTTGAGAAAAAGTTAACATATGTAAAATATGGAAATGATCTTCTAAGTGTCTATTGCCTTTGAAAGGTATCATTCTCAAGTTAATTCACCAGTTAATTTCATGTCATCTGAAGTTTCTCTATTAAAATTTAAGTAAGAGATTCTCATTTGGGAAACAACTTCTAAATATTTCAGAAACACTTACCAACATAACCACAGTGTACTGAATTTAGCTTGTACCAACTCAAGAGAGCTAATTGTGCATGTATATTCACAACTCTTGTGTTTCAGTGCTGTCACAATAGTGCTTGGAATCGAGTGTGGTGGGAGATTTTACAACACAGAAATAAAAAATTACTATTTTTAAATATTTTATTTAATTATTCCTATCAGCCTATGAGTATATTTCTATATTTTTATACAATTTTTATTCCTGTTTTACAAACAGAGAAACTGAGATGGAGAGGTCATCAGCCCAAAGTCATAGTGTGAATGGTGGAGCCAGGATTTATGCTCAGGCAGTGTAACTTCATAGCCTTTGGTCTTAGCCACAATGCTACTCTGCTTCCCAATAAATATTTAGTCAAAGTTTATTCATCAGTATAGAATGATGACATTATTTATTATTTATTGACTGCATAAACCCAAATTATCAAACACTTTTTCAACATTCTCTCAAAGAAGTAAATTCAATATATCTAACTTGAAATTTAGGAGCATTAAAAAATTAGGAAAACTATTTTATAGAACCAGAGTTTTTCATGGGGACAGGTGCTAGGGTTCTCTGCTCCAGAATTCTGATGCTTAAAATGTTGCATATTTGTTTTAGATGGAAAAAGAGGGTGCTGGCAGAAGGATCCCTGGTTGGGCAGCGACATGCCAGTGTGTCCAGAGGAGTTCCCTGCCTGCCAGGAATCTCAGCAGACACAGTGATGTGAAGGAGCAAGACAAAATGCCAGGTAGAGACCTACTTTAAATAGTACTTAGAAATAAAAATCATAAGAAATGTTGAACCATGCAGTGATGAGAATCACTTTTATACCACCCAAAATCCCTTTTCCTGAAATCTCTATCTGCTTGATGATACTGTCCACATTAAAATTTTTAAATATTTTACAAAGTACTTTCATAAAATAGCTAAACAATCCTGAAATCCATCCTTCTCTTGCCATCATTGGTTTTCCTAAGGCTTTGATATCCTCTACTTCCATTGTTGATTCTCCTGTTTTCATTTTTAAGTCATTTTCTTTGGCCTTCTGCTCTTCCCGTTTTTCACAACTTTAATTATTGACAATGATTTCTGAATCTCCCGTGAGCTCTGGTGTCACATACTTGACACAAAGTACAGTTAAAAACTTCTTGAATGAATGAGTCACTCTCCAATTGCCTGATGAAAATACCTACTTGGAGGTATTTCATCACCTTGAAGCCTGAAAACAACCTATTGTCTTGTCCTTAAAATAACTACCTTTTCTGAGAATTTCTGTTAATGGTAGTGAGAACCAACATTTATTGAGTGATTATCGCATACCAGGCACTTTACAACATATTATCTACTTCTCACAACTATCCTATGAAATAGATGGTGTAATGAAGAAATCAAGGACAAAAGCAGTGAGCAAGTTAAGGAATAGAGATATGAACCCAGGTCATCTAACTCAAACCAGTGCCTCTCCCATCACACGTCAGGCTTATCTGTTTAAGTCCCTTAACCACACTCAGTTCCGGTGGTTTTAACCTGTCAGGTAGAGGCCCAAATAATGACGAATGAAGCCAGAAAAAATAGAACCCAAACTGACAGGTTATTAGGGATGAACAAAAAGAATTGAAAACTCAGTAAAATCCAAGAAAATACATTCATAACCCAAAATATAAAGAATTAAAGAGATTTTTGAAATAGAGTCAAGATTTGCTTATTTGTTTGAATCAAGTTCCAACAATACAAATATTAACTTTGCTTGATTTGGGTTGGAATCTGAGTTGTCAGGACCATTTCTCAGATTCTACTGAGAATGTAAAAGAGACTTAAAGAAGTAACACAGTCGACTAATATATTTTATTTAAAAATTTACTTTTGAAGCCTATAAATGGATAAATTCCAAAATACAGAATATTTAACAATATTTAATATTTTTTACTCAACAGTCTGCCTTTGTGTTTTTCTTTCCATAAACAAATACACTGGATTAAAGCAATAATACTCTTATCTTCAAGTTCAATGCCTGAGTTTCTTGCATACTATTTCCATTTAAAGTTCAGTAATTACTTAACTTCACATTATTCTGTCACAAATGATAAATGTGCTACCTATGTAGTAAAAATCATAAAACTATTATAAGCCAAGTCAAGAGAATTCATAAAGTTAATATGAAATAATAACTATACTGATACACATGTGCAATGGGCCCTACCAGAAATATGCCAAAATAACAAGTTTTATTTAAAGAATGAGGTCTTTGGGCAGAAAGAAATGAGGGGTCATTATCATCAAAAATTATTAGGAAGATTGTAGGTAAAAAGAAATCAGCCTACAATTTTAACTAAATAAAGGAGGAGAAGGGAGTATATCATTACAGTTGATGCAGTTAGGAAAATTCAATTACCATTTTACCACAAACTGGCTGACTACTTCAAGAGCTCAGAGTCAGGCTCTCCAGGCATTCTGTTACTCTCCCACTAAGTTTCCTTACATGGGACATAAACCTGCATTTATGATTACAACAAAATATTATAATGCTATTTAATCTGACAGTTGGCAAACAATAGAAAAACAAACTGGAAATTAGTGGAGCCACACCCTCTCACTACCCCTGAAAATAGGGGCTAAAATGAGTCATTAAGAAACAGTATTCAAAGACCACTGTATTAACTAATGTGATTTATAAAATAAGCAAAATTCAGCAATTTTCAATGGAAAATGCCACAGTATTTGAACACTAGGAATGTTTTGATGCTGATTTTTATCAAAGTGGTACTGCAAGCCATTAAGTTGGAACAAATTCCAAATTCACAATTACATGCATCACCTCAGTTTAATAATCCAATAAATGATAAAAAAGACAAATAAAGAAAACAGCATCATATAGCACAGCAGCTTTGTTTGGCTCCCTCTGGATAAAATCTTCAGTTTGCCCATAGTTTTACCTAGAAATCCAGTTGTGGAATCAAATTGTGAATCCTATCAGAGATAAAGGCAAATAAAATATCACAGTTAGATTCTAAGAGTCTACATATGCATATCCAAGTAATTGAATAACTGTTACCATAGTACATTTGTAATGACAGTTTTGTGTTTAATCAATTCAGGAGCCTGTTGATAACCTTGGATAATCAGCCTGATTTCTCCATGCAAAATACAGTAATACTCTCAGCGAATAAAAAGCTCTTTCATTGTCCAATAAACACTTCTTTCAGCTCCACAGAGTAATTCAACAACTCAAAACTATTTAGGTGTTATTCCAATTATGTGGATAAAAAAAATTAACAATAAATGTAAGTACTTTGTGCATTATCACACAGATTTTTTTCCCCACTTTTTGTTGTGCCATTGCTCTCCAAGGTCAAATGGTTGACTGCTACCCAAGTAGAGGATTTCATCCAAAATGTAATACGGTTAGCAGTTAAATGTACTTTTATTTACTTATTTATTTATTTAGAGACGGAGTCTCGCTCGTTGCCCAGGCTGGAGTGCAGTGGTGCAATCTCAGCTCACTGCAATCTCTGCCTCCCAGGTTCAAGTGATTCTCCTGCCTCAGCCTCCCAAGTAGCTGGGACTACAGGCGCACGCCACCACGCCCAGCTAATTTTTTTGTATTTTTAGTAGAGATGGGGTTTCACCATGTTGGCCAGGGTGGTCTTGAACTACTGACCTCAGGTAATCCGCCCACCTCATCCTCCCAAAATGTTGGGAGTATAGGCGTGAGCTACCATGCTAGGCCTTGGACCTTTACTTTTAATATCCTTTTGTTTAGACAGCTGACTTTGAAGTAGAGTCTATTAAGTTAAGAGAATATCATATAGAGGTAGTAAAATGTGATAAGGACTATAAATATGGATGGGGAAAAACTAACGTATTAAAACATAGCTGGAAAATCCTAAAGATGAGAGAGGCTTAGGTAGGGACTAGAAATATTACACATACTTTCATAGAAATTATAATATCCTGAGATGTAAAAGCCCTGGCATAATAATAAATATCCTTTGTATAGCTCAGTGTCTATGTGGCTCATATACTTTAGATCTATGGATCTTCACCATGGTTATGCATCAGAATCACCGGAGATGCTTTTTCATGGTTATGCATCAGAATCACCAGAGATGCTTTTTTCAAAATATTTACATCTAGATCCCTCCTCACGAAATTCTAAATCAGTATATTTAAAGACAGAATCAGGCATATACATTTTTAAAGAGGTCCCTAGCTTATTATAGCGCACAAGCTTAGCAAGAACATTGCTTTTGATGCCAAATTCATTTTTGAATAGCACAATTTTAAAAGCACATGGAACCAGAGAAGGTTCAGAGAAGCTTGACATTCAAGATAAACGTTAACAAATGGAAGGGGACTCTAACAAGAAAAGGTATATGTTGTTAGAGAGAAAAGGCTCTGGGCTGTTCAAATGTATGAGCACTTTTTTCATAAGTGATCCTTAGGAAATCAAGCAAAAGAGTAAGTATCCATTAAGTGAACGACATTTAGTTGGTTGGATATCAAGTGCCTTTTGATTGCTTGGTTAATAAATTACTAGTAGTCTCTACTATTGAGACTTCTAAGACTACTCAAAATAGTCATTTGTCTTGTTTTTAACAATCATTCTAAAAACAGGATTAAAGATATATTGGCTTCCACTTGTTCCTCCCACTTACATGCGTAAGACGAGATGAAAAATGCAAAAGCATGGCAAAATAAACCTTATAGTTATTCCAAACACATTAGATACAAATGGACGGGAATCAAGGACTTACGATCTCTGTATTTCAAAATGAATAAAAGTTGAAATTCTATTATTTGCGAATATTAGATCAAATTTCTTAAAGTTAAAATCATAACCACTTACCATTTCAGCTAATAATTTATTCTGGGTTTTAACTTCATGGCCTATTTCAATGGAAAGCTATAAAGAAGAAGGTATACACAGGATTACTCACATAAAAGTATTCAAGTGTTATAAAGTAAAAATAATGTCATTCTAAGCATACACATTTTCTGAAATGAAACGGTCTTCTAGACACATAAACTCTCTTTTTCTGATACTTTTTCTACCAAGATCAATAAAAAATAAATTTGGAATTTCTACTCCTCCCAATTATGGACATTTCTTCTTTCCTCTTTATTTTAATTTCATCTTAATATTCAATTCCATCTTTTAATTTGGTATGTACTACTTCTCTCTGATTCTCTTAACCTTGTATGCTTTTATATCTTTATTATATTCCTACAAAAGCTACAAATTCCTACAAATATCTGTATATTTCCTTCTTACATTTTATTTATTATATTTTATAAATTATATATATATATTTTAACTTATTTTAGGTTTGGGGGTACAGGTGAAGGTTTGTTATACAGTTAAACTCATGTCACATGGATTTGTTGTACGGATTATTTCGTCAACCAAGAATTAAGCCTAGTACCCAACCTTATTACATTTTGAAAGATCTAGAAGTACCCATACAACCAATTCAAATCTAGACAGAAGTATTTAATATTTTCCTAATGAAATGTTACATTACTTTAAATATGTCTAAACTGATTTTTCCTTAGTTTAAAGGTTTTTGCTTTAAAATATGATAATAAATTGAAAAAAATAAATATTAGTGTTACTTACTTCCTGAAGCTCTGAAGAAAAGAGCCATAGCTTACAAAATACAATACTATAGCTAATTATGACAACTATTCAAACCAAAATCTATCTAATACTTTATAGGACAGATTCATCAAAGGCTTCACTTCCAAGATATTTAAATAAATAGAATCATCTACTGAAAATCTTGGTAAATCACTGCAAATATTGTTCTTCATCTGTGTGAAAGCACATGGGATAATACTGATACAAAACCATACTAGAATTCTATAGATCAGAACATGAGCTTTCCTCCCAGATTTAACAACTCAGAGATAATAAAGTAACTATAAAGCTAGACTGCCCACATTACTCAACTTCTATCACTGTCATTCATGCCAAGGAAAAATATTTCCAGGACATCACAACTTTCTTCTAACAAGTAATCTAAATTATCTACATTGGGGGGGTTTTTAAAGGCATTTAATTCTTAAGTCCTTCCAAGTGTTGTATTTTTAAAATTAACATTATACAATATTACTTAGTTCATAAATCAACTTTAGTTTAATATGACTTTGAAAACAATCCTGTTTCAAAATCTAAAGGTCTCCAGACTGAATGTAATTCGATTTTCCAAAGACTATATTGAAATACCAATTAAGTTTTATCAACATGGGCTTCTACTGAATGCTTTATAAGTGAACGTCATGTTCATTATAATGCAGTATCAATCACATATATTATTAAAATCATCTTCGTGTAATTCTTTGGTTCAATACAAATTTACTCAACACCATTGATAAGGAATTATGCTAAGTGCTATATAGAATATAAAGTAAGTACAATAGAAAACCTGCATTCTGGTAAATTCCTTTTACATACAAATAATGCCAATGCAAATCACTATGAATAAGTGCTACAGAAATGGCACAAATGGTCTTATGTTCATAAGAAGAAAAGTTACTTTTGGATGTGGTAATCAGGTAAAAGTTTGGAGGGAGGGGGTGCAATGAAGTGGGGCGGATGTGGATAAGCAGCACTTCAGTTGATCTAAGAAGGAAGTGGAGGCTTAAGGCAAAGGGATAGTGTGATATGGGGGTGGGAAAGTGACAGCATACAGAGGACACAAAGTGTAATTTGTCTAGCAGGAAGCACATACAGATTCTGGAAGTGTGAGAGATAAGATCTCAAAAGCTAAGGCCAATTTTTGAAAGATCTATCTGATTTAATCAAGCTACGAAGCATGAACTTTATTAAATCATGGAAGGACGCTGAAGACTTCTGGGAGTGCAGGATGCAAGTTTTAAAATATTCTAAACGAGGACTGTGGCAATGATTATATAGCTCAGATCATAATGTGCAAAAAAACAGGAACAGATAGGTTAAGATGTTCTTCCAATAGTTCAACTAAGAAAACCAGGGGATAGGCCAGGTGCGGTGGCTCACACCTATAATCCCAGCACTTTGGGAGGCCAAGGCGGGCGGATCACCTGAGATAAAGAGTTCAAGACCAGCCTGGCCAACATGGTAAAACCCTGTCTCTGCTAAAAATACAAAAATTAGCCGGGTGTGGTGGCGGGCACCTGCAATCGCAGCTATTTGGGAGGCTGAGACAGGGGGATTGCTTTAACCTAGGAGGCAGAGGTTGCAGTGAGCCAAAACTGCACCATTGCACTCCAGCCTGGGCAACAAGAGCAAAACTCCATCTCAAAAAAAAAGAAAAGAAAAGAAAACCAGGGGATAGTATTAGAAATAGAAAGGCAAAGATAGAAACATCAGAAAGACAGTGTAAGACTCAGTGACTGAAATGAAGTACAAAGGTAGAAATAAGAAAGACCAAGATTTATAGCTTAGAAGGCTAGATTAAAAAAAGCAGAAGAGCTACTTGGGGGTGGAAGATGGACAGCTCTGTTTGAGACATTACAGCAGACAGCATACAGTATACAAAAAAGAGCTGGAGATTTTTCTTAAGTATTAAAAAAAATCTATCTTTTGATGTGCCACATTTTTTAACTTACTCAAAGCACAGTCTAAATTTTGAGTGTACTTTGACCTCACAAAACCACAGTATCTGAGTAAATGAATTCCTTAGGATGACGTCAATAAGAATATATAGTTTATAATTATATGTATAGAAATATATGAATTAAAACACATATAATATTTGTTATATACTTACAGATTTTATAGCAGTTACTTTGCTTCTCAGACTTTCAGTGAGCCTCTCATTTTCTTCTTCACAGGCACTATACCCACTATTAGCATAGCCATAGTTCCCATAGTTGCCAGGAGGTACTCCTTCACCTGCAAGGATCAGAGTCACAAAGGTGGTTCTAGAGAAGCCACTTTTGAAACACTGTTAGTTAGGAAAGAACTGAAAAAGACCCCTGGAGGGCCTTGCAAACCACATATGTCTCTAATATTCATACTCCAAATGAATTTAAAAAATAAATAACCAAACAGAGATCAGACCAATTCTTTCCATTACTCTCTGTTAACCAAAGAATATTCAGTTCAGTTCATTTTGATACACATTTCTGGATTGCTTATTGATTGTCCAGAAGATACAAAAATAGGTACTAATACACAAGAATATTCAGGATACATTCCCTGCTCAAGAGAAACATATATTTTAATGAAAGTTCTAAAAGCAGTAACATCATCTACCCATTGAAAAAGCGTGGCTGTGAAGAGGAAGGGAAAAGTGGTTAATACAGAAGGACGGGAGCTCATAGCGGCGAGGGTTCTTTACTGGCATCTCTTTCTCTTAAATAGACAGTTGGACAGGAAAGAGCCAAAGCAGGGAGGGGGCAAACTGAAGCTCTAGGAAAGAGACACAATAACTTATGCAGAATGCTAGCTGAGAGTCAAGAGGGAGATTCATTTATTCTTCAACATATATTTGAAGAATTACCATGTATCAGATCCACTGTTCTTTCTAGGTGCTACTTTTATGGAACTCTAAGGGATAAGAATGTACACCTCCCTGCCTAATATAGTACTTCATAGTCATCAGGCTATCAAACAACAGATGGAGTGGGCCTTAGTGAATACATATATAAATATGTTGGGCGATTAACAGGAAACGGCATAGTTCAGGGTGTTAGTTAACTATACTTTTTTTTTTTTTTTGAGGTGGAGTCTCGCTCTGTCGCCCAAGCTGGAGTGCAGTGGCGCGATCTCGGCTCACTGCAAGCTCCGCCTCCCAGGTTCAGGCCATTCTCCTGCCTCAGCCTCCCGAGCAGCTGGGACTACAGGTGCCCGCCATCACACCTGGCTAATTTTTTTTTTTTTTGTATTTTTTAGCAGAGACAGGGTTTCACCCTGTTAGCCAGGATGGTCTCGATCTCCTGACCTCATGATCCATCCGCCTCGGCCCCCCAAAGTGCTGGGATTACAGGCGTGAACTTTTTTTTAACATAATTGTTGCCATCAATTTTCTCAGTAAAGGGAGAAAACGGGCTATCTGCTGAAGAATGGGTGATCATTCAGAATATACAGTAAGGAGAATGATGGAGGAAAGGGACCGGGACTGCACAGGATTACTAAAGATAAAACAAACTTGTTTGAGGCAATATACTACGGTGGCTTCAATCGTCCCAGGTGTGTGGTTTTTTTCTGCAGAAGAGTTCATCGGCCTGAGTTAGTCCAGGAGAAGGTGGATGGTTGGACTAATCTATAGTTGGAAGCTTATAATATTGAGGTTGCAGAAAAACGGAGCCCCAAGAGGTTGAGACTGCTTGCCAAAAGAGCGGTTGAAGATCTGGATTATGGGGATTAGATTGGACAGATATTAAAGCAGATTCAACAGTGACTTGAGAATGTGGGGAAAGGAATGATATCAAAACTAGAAGTCTCAGAGCCTGCTGCACACAGTTGCTTGCACCTATAATCCCAGCTACTTGGGAAGCTGAGGGAGGCAGGATCACTTGAGGCCAGGAATTTGAGACCAGCCTGGGCAACACAGCAAGACCTCATCTATTAAAAACAAACAAAACTAGAAGTCTCCATATGCTCAATGAGCAGATGCAGCAGCAGTGACAGGAGGTAACAGCACTGATCACTGAAGGACAGTCAAGGTGTGAATAGGAACTTCTTTCAAGGCACAATAGAAATTTCATTTTCCCTATGAAGCAAAACTCTCACTGATTTCTTACAGCTCTGATTGTATGTAACACTAATATTGCACTCTGTACAGTACTATAAGGGAAGAGAATAAGTTTGTTTGACTCAACACTGTATGTCCCCCCATAAACCTACAAACACATACACACTGTAAGGCACACTCAATGAATACATGATGTGAACTAATTAATGAAAAGAATCTGAGTTCACTGTTATTGAACTTTGAATGTGCATACCTTTGTCCAGAATGGAATCATATGCTTCTCTGAAGGCAAAGACAGTATCTCATGCTTCCATATCCTCCCTGTACCTAATGAGTACTTTATATGCAGCAGATACCTATGCAATCTCCACCACCACAAAAACCACAACAAAATATTGAAGAAGTATTTTCCAAACAGAAGAGAGTTGTACTATCTGAATTTTGCTGCTGACACACTATCCATGACACACTATCCATGAAGCTCTCCACATGTTTTATTATAAAAGAACTCAAGGAGTGGGCATATTTTTCCGCTCAGTCAAATATTAAAATCACCATTTAAAAATGCATTCTTACTCTGTTAACCAATGATACTCTGTGCAAACTGTAGTTTAATAAGGGCCAAGATACTTAAAGAAAGAATGTCTTCTTATTTTGTGTGGCTGAGGTTCTGAGTATATAACATTTACCCAATAAGTAATTACTGACTGGTTGAATTCAAACATTTGACAACTTCACCAAGGAATTCATTATAAATTAACTGCTATTTTTTCTTTCCTTTGTTTAGTTGCTTTTGCCTATCTTAATTTTAATTTTAGAGTTCTTCCATGCTGTTCCATTTATTCAAAGTGAAATTCTTGTTGTATTTATCGTCCAGAAATATATCAATGCACATTCCTATTAAAGAGTTGATCTTCCCTCAAACTATGACCCATCCCAAATACAATGACAAAAGTAAAAACCAAATAAAATGCTAGAATTGCTATTCCAAACAAAGCCACTTCTCTTCTGGTGGTGTACTGCTATGAAAAGTTGTAAAAAAGCTAGTGAGTACTGAAGATCATCCTCAGCCTTTGTTTATTTAGATAAACGCTACTTTTTTGGATAGGTTCTATCAGTAAGCTAACAAAACCATTTAGAGATTCATGTGAAGTGTGGCAGCTTCTGCCTATGGATATGTATCAGATTCACTATGATCCCAAATTTAAAATTTCAGGTCAATATGCATTCATACTTTAAAAAAAAAGAAAAGAAAAAATGTGTAACAAAAGCCTTTGTCACTTCACACCAATGTAAATTATAGCAATAGTAGTTACCTAGGTAATTACTTCTCCTCTCAATCACAGAAGAGCTTTTTTTTAAAAAAAAAAAAAAAAGAAAGAAAAAAAAAGGAAAAAAGGAGAAGGTAGTGGGCTCTAAATTGGAGAAATTCTAATTTTACTGGCTGAGCTGAGGTCCAGGTAACAATACTTTAAAAACTTCCCAAGGGATTCTAATGTACAGTCAGGGCTGAGAACCATTACTCAAGTCACTTTCCTGCAATTTAACATGGCACACTGCAGCAGGAAAATACTCAAAAGGGCCTAGGGGCCTACTGATGAAATCCAAACTCTTTGGCCTCGCATGCAAAGATCTCCACAGTGTGATCCCGAATCCCCTACTTCACCCAAACTGGCTTAATCATAATCCCTTACTTCTTTTGAGTTCCTCCTATCTGGAACTCACTTCCCCCACTCTCCATTATTCAAGGTCTACTTCAAATTCCTATGTCTCCACCAAATACACAAAGATCTTCCCCACAAAGTACACAGTGATCTATCTCTGAAATCTCTGAGACCATCCCTTATATGTAGAACTTATCTGGTATTTGGATGTATAGCGACACTTTGTACTACAATTTATCTTTGCACATATTCCTACTCCCCACCTAGACTGGAAGCTTTGGGGATCACAAACAGGGCAACAAACAACTGTATACCTAGAGCTTACTCAAGCACACAATAAATCTTTTTTGGTATTAAGGATGATGAACAAGAAAAACATTTAGACATATAAAGCTAAACTTGCTCAAAATTATTTCTTTTTTTTTTCTCTTCAATTTACCTGGCCCCATTTTCTATGATCTAAGTATTCATAAAAACTTCATTAAAAAAACAAAAAACTTTCTCATACTACAATTTATTGATCAATAAACAAGTCTACGGTTATTGGCAACTTTCACTGACTTTAAATATCTGACACTTTGGGGATTTTTTTTTTCTTTTTTCAATCTTATAATGACTGAGAAAGGTAATATCTTTTTTCAAATGTTTCATTTATTTTCTGAAGTATACTGCACTCTAATTTAGCGGGGTCTTCTTTAAAAAAAAAATCGTGTCCTAAGAGAAAGCTTCAGAACCAGAAAATGCCGTTCTAGTAGCTGTGCGTTACTATAAGGGTCCATTAAAATTCCTTGTGTCTAACTTATTCTTGCTGATGAGCCAGTTTCCTAACCCCAAAGGTAAAGATCAAATGTTAAGTCGCCAAACCTTAACCACGTTCTACTGCCTTAACCGTGGCACAAGGTTCAGATTAAGAAATCGCCTTTGACCCAGAAGTTCCAGTTCCAGGACCTTTAACAATAATGACACATACATTTACCTTTGTAACTCACTGTTACCAGATTAACGACCATTACTAGCGTGCTTTGGGTGCAACCACCCACTCTTCAAATTCCGCTTCTGAAGAAACTAAGATCCAGGGCCAGTAGGGAAACAGAAACCGGAGTCGGGCTTTGGAAAACATAGCAGCGTCCATAACCACGCTCAGTCAATAACACTAAAACACTCGACCACTGAGATGCCACCTGTACACACCCACCCCTAGTCCACTACTTTCTCTAGCCTACCATCCAAACTTGAATCTGACTCAAACTTAAGGAAATTCCAAAGATCTGGGACAAATGGTGTGTTTCCACTCGACATGGACCCCAAAGATCCCCTCTAGACATCCTGTTTTTTGGACCAAATGCCAGGAACATAAGACAGGTTCGATTTCCTCCCGCGCCCCAGCGCTCCCGGTTCTAGGGCCCCGAACTTCGAACCTCAGCCCTCTTCTTACCCAGGCCTGCACGCCTCATCCTGCCAGAGGAGAGAGAGAAAAGGCGGGTGCGGGGCTTTGGGTGAGTAGGAAACAGCTAGGGGCGACCCGGACCGCGTCTTCAGTACCAGGGCCCAGCGAAACACCAACTTCTTCCCCTAAAGCGCCACGACATCAGTGGAGTCTAAACACCGCGCCGGATGATGGCGTCACCACGGCGCTCATTGGAGCCCTGGGAAGAAGGTTGAAAGGCATTCTGGGAAATGTAGTTCACCAACGCATAACGTGTTGCTGAGGGCGTGATGTGAACCCGGTTCCAGGAGCGGACGGGGCGTCCGGAAAAGGGGGCGGCTTCGACTGCGGCTCTGATTCTGGGTCTCTGATCCAACGTTCCCGCTGTTCCGCTCGCAGCCCGCGGGTCGCTGCTTTCAGTTTGTTGACCACCAAGTTTAACCCAGCAGATCTGCTCCTCCCCACCCACAAGAGGATGGTTGGGGTATCTTTCCTGATTTAGCCTCGAACTCCCTCTCACCTCCAGAGACGATTCAGGGAAAGTTAGAGAAAACTTTGTCCAGGTTTCTCAGTTTACAAACAAGTAATCCGACACCCACAGAAGTAACCGATTTGTGCCTTGTAGTATCCAGTAAAGGAAAGAAAACCAGGTTCCTTTGAGTAGGACTCCTGCTCAGATGAGAGCAGACTAGGAAAGGCTGCGGGATCTGGTCAGAGGCACTGAATAGTTAGTTCCCTGTTACTGCATCTGTTGTACTTCTAGAAAGAACCAAGACTTTTAGTTGTTATGGGGACCAAAGGACCCCTAAACGCTCTCCCACTTTTTTTTTTTTAACTTACACAAAGCTTATTGAAATACTGCTTACACAAGGCAGTGTGCCAATTAGGGGTTTAAAACTTGTTGGCGAGTTGGAGGTGTTACTGGTATCGAGGTTAATCCTAGAATTTCATTTTATCTCAGAGGATTTATCGTGAGAATACGATGAAATCGTGGTTTTTGAAGGGAAAACAAAAAAACCTGATACACAGTAGGTGATCAAAATTCACTGGGTGTCTGCGGTTTTGTTGTTGCTGCTGTATATATGGCAGTGGAATCGTCTCCACACTAGAGATTTCCGAATATGTGATCTTTGATCATTTAGCGTTTCCTCATAGTTTCCCAGGACATTATTAACATTGACTATAATACTGGCATAAGTCTCTGCGTTAAGTTGCTTTTGTAAAAAACACATGAAAACAATTTTTAATAAGAGTTATTAACCTGGGAAGGAGGCTTTATCCAATAGTGTTTTGATAGAAAAAAATCATTAAAATAAAACCGCCATTTTCTAAAAGCAATGAAATTAAATAAGCATAATATCAGGGACAATTATTACAAATAAAAGATGGAGATTCAATAAAAGAAATGATAGCTAGGTATCCCTTTATAACTTAAAATCTGTGACAGTCCTTTGGTTAAAAAAATGCATGTTCTATAATTAAAACGTTTAAAAATTGCCTTACAGAAGGCTTGCTGATGGAAATGTAGAAATCGTTATTTTTGAAAATATGGTAATATTTACTAGAACTAATCATTTAGATTACATAAAATATACTGCTTCCTTTACATGGTAGGAAGACATAAGAATGAAATGTAGTTAAAAGGAAAACATATATAATGTACTAAGAATATAACTGAAGTAAGGCAAAGCTAGTTCATATTGAAGTTGTTACCTAAAAAATCCAATTATTGTTTTTAGCTAACGTTGCTAGTATCAAATTAGGATAATGTCATCTGAAAAAAATTTGCACTCAAAGGAAGAGGCAGGAAAAATGAACTCAATGTGCAGAAAAAGAATTATTAAATGTGACCATAGTTGACATTAGCGATCAGAGGGAATCATTTTCACTTTTCTCGTTGTGCTTTTTCCTTTTTAAATTAAAATCCTTAACTTTTCTTACTGATTGAAAGCAAATAAATTTCACAGAGATGAATAGCATTTAGAACCTCTTCTCTATTCTCACAGGATAGTCTCACAGAAAACATCTAATGTTTGTAGGTCTCTAGGAGATAAAGGACTAAAAATTACTTAAAATAATATTAAGTATTCCTTCTAGTAATTACAAAAGCAAGAATAAAAGCAGGAAATGTCTGAATCGAGGTGCAAAATTGGAACTTTTCTTTCTCCTATCTGTCTGCTTCCTGCCTGCCCATTTGTCCTACCTCTTCCTGACCAAATTTCAAGTCCAATCCAAGGGAAAAGAGCATACCAAGCTCTCAAAACTGGTTCAATAAACATTAACACATTTTTCAATCATGAAGCAAATTCAGTATCTCGGGTATCATATTTGAACTGTCACAAAATGTAAACTAGAAACAAAAAGCTCTTGATTTACAAACAAGCTATGGGACAAAGTTTGTTTCTAAGTTTGTTGTTTGGTATTTAAAGCACATTTTCCCTGAAGACTGAAATGATGGTCAGGTTCCCAACTCAGCCCAGAAAACACATGGCTGTTAGAGTTACTATGCTGGCCAATCAAAGTCTGTGTAACCCATAGGACAGCAGAAATACCGCGTATTTTCAAGACCAATAGAAGGAAAATAATGTTGTAATACTTGTGATAAAATAAAGCAAAGCCATTAAAGAAGAAATAGAGTGTTTAAAAATTATTTTGGTTATTCATGTTTGAGAAAGAATGAGTTTTACTTAAAAGTTTTAAGAATGCGAAGAATATTTTCAAGGAGTTTGCAAAAAGTCACCAATTTGATCTGTCTTTTCCATAATTTGGGAATATTACTAGCACTGATGGCAAGCTTTTCAGCCATAGTTTGTAAAAATTAGGCACACAATTCCAACCTTAAAGTCCTCAGCAGAGCCAGACACATAATTTGTGGGGCTCAGGGCAAAATGAAAATGTTGTGCCTCTAGTTCAGAAAACAGGGGAAAAGTTCAGTTAAAGGTATTAAGATACAAAACTTCTCTTTCTTCTGTTTTCTTCTGTAATCTCCCTACCATCGTTCCTCCCCTCCCCACACCAACTTGTCATGGTGTTTTTATTTGCTATTTAATATTCTTCTGAGTAAAGAAAAAAATAAATTATTAGCATTAATTTTACCCTTGATCTTTATATTGTGCAATGACAGTTTTAAATGCAAACATAAGAGCACGCTACTCGTGAAATCACTAAAATTACACATTTGGTATTTTGTACTTTGATATGGTTTGGATATTTGTCCCAACTAAACATCATGTTGAAATGTAATCCCCAGTGTTGGAAGTAAGTCCTGGTGGGAAATGTTTGGATCATGGAGGCAGATCCCACATGAATAACTTAGCACCATCCCCTTGAGTGAGTTCACACGAGATCTGATGTCTAAAAGTATGTGGCACCACCTCCTGTCTCTCTGGGTCCCACTCTCACCAAGTAACCTGCCCTCTCCCGCTTCACCTTCTGCTATGAGTAAGAGCTCCTTGAGGCATTACCAGAAGCTGAGCAGATGCTGGCACTATGCTTCCTGTACTGCCTGCAGAAACATGTGTCAATTAAACCTCTTTTCTTTATAAATTACCCAGTCTCAGGTACGTCTTTATAAAAATGCAAGAATGGCCTAAATAGATACCTCACACATGAATCTGTATTTCATTCTTACCATGGCAGAGCAGTCAAAACACTGCATCAAAACTAAGTCAACAGATTTTATTTCATGTCTTGACAGGCACATACTCTACCAACATTCTACCTTCAGCCTACTGATGAGTTAGGAGGGACTTAAAAGAAAGAGAGCAAGGGGTTGCCTTATCTATTCTTTTCCTTTTATGCCATCATTTTTAATACAATTGGCTAACACAACAATGTAAGATAAAAAAGTATGTGATAGAGTTCCTTGGTCATTTTCTTCTTTCTGTGGAAGAAGTTCTGGTTCAAGCAGAGCACGTGGCCTTTTGGGGCTGTCAGTGTCCATACTTATTCTGACACAAACTTAACACACCTTTTGTACTCTTTTTGAGTGTTTCTGAACTCCCATGCGTCATGGGTCCACTGGCATTCTGTGTTCCTGGGTCACTGCAAATGTAATATTCAAATGAAGTGGCAAAGAACAATGAAAATGCATGTTGTACATATCTCCTGCAATCGTGGGCACTATCTCTTGTTCCATAAGACTTTATATACAAAACTTAAGGCCAAAGGTAAAATTATTAAGAATTTCAAGACAGTGACCACAGAGCATTAAGCCAAGTTTGGGGGCCTTCTGATTAAGGAACCTTATGCAACTGCAAAGGTTGCAGGCCCCTGAACCTGGCCCTGGTCCTCAGAAAGAAATTTTCAAAGGAAATAGGGCCATAATTGGTAGAGAAAAAGGAGGGAATGAGTGAATACAGAGGACATATATATCCACAGATAGAATTAAAATGAAACATTTAAATTGAGCAGTGAAATTCACAGGGAAGCAAGAGAGTAGAGTATACAGGTACTGCCCCAAGAGAAAGGAAAGAAGAAAGGGAAGAGGTGGTAAGTTGCGCACTTCTCTCAAACCACTGACCAAGCCAGTTTCTGTCTGAAGTAAATTATTATTGTGGTTGACGAGCCATAGATGAGTAAAACTCTAGTGTGTATAAGCAGTAAGAAAAACTGTCCTCAAGGTGGGCATGATGCCAGCAAACATGAGTGATGGGGCATAACTTCAGGGATGAGGCTTTTTCTGTGTTTCATGGCACAATGTTTCACACTTCCAGCAATTCTAATGTATTACTAAGTTCTCATTCTGGGAAATGATTCCTTCCTTAATATCAGTTAATCAGTAGCTGTGATTTTTTTTGTCTGAATATCCGGCCCCACAGCAGAACAGTACTATAAAGATAAATTTTAAAATGAGTACTTTGCATAGGCTGCCCTTTTAATATTCCAATTTTGAAGACATCTTTGACATTTCTAAAACATAATTTGAGATTAAAGAAGATAGGTTTAATTTTCATTGCCTAGAATATGTCGGTGTTGTATATTTTTAAATTCTCTGCATTATCTATCATTCAAGACTAATTTAGTCAAGTTGATAGTCATTTTATTTTAATAGCATTTATTATTCAATAAGTATATTGAATTATCATAGTGATACATTTAAACTACAAAATGAAAAATGAAGTATACAACTTAGTTTTATTCCTACAGCACTGTTAGACACTTTGACAGACATGTTACACTACTGACTTGTTTTTTTTCCCAGTGGTGATTAGTTGAGTTTATATCATAGACAAAACACTTCAATGTTATTCAGATATGAAAATATGCTATCCACTTTTATGTAGTAGACATTCACTTCACCTAATTTTCCTGTTTTACTAAAGCTAATGATCTCATGACTTTTGATTTCTAGAATTAGGCCAAGACTGTGTCACAGATGTATGCAAGTCATCTCATTTCAATTTGCCTTGGCTATTGACACAGAACCACTCCTTGGAGCCTAAACGATCCAGTTTTCTCACCTTGCCTGTTAACCATAATCCCACACTCAGCTGAAATGATCCAATTTTTTATCTTTAATATTTTGGGTTTTTTTCTTATAGGTTGAATTTAACTGCTTTGGAATATCAGATAGCATTAAAATGATTTAATTATTGCACCAAGAATCATTATTATTTTACATCCACATTCCAGGAGGATGGAATCTGGTATATCCTTTAAAACACATTTGTGCTTGAGTAAAGTTTTCCTGTAACTAATTTGTACTGACTTCCTCTTCTTGATTTACTTTATGGTACATCTATATCAGGATATATAGATCGCAATACTTTGCTCACTCATTATGGGCAGTAATTCTGAAATCAGATACATGCTTCAGATTTTAATGTAATGGAGCATTTTCTTAATTTAAAATTCTTCTCTAGCAAGGTTTTGCTTTTTACTTTTCCACAGGGAAACCATTTCTGATGGCACAAAACTTGAGTCATAATGTATAAGCTTTGCAGTTATAAAATAACTGCCATCTTTGTTTTATGGTTTACTCACCTGTAAAAGCTGTTTATTGTCAAATAGGAGACACTATGAATCAAATTTCTTCTCTTGCTGCAGTGCTTCCCCCACTAAAAAATCTCTATTAATAGGGCCCCCCAAGATCAAAAAGGTAGTTTGATCACTGTTAGCAAGGAGTTATGCGGAGATAAGAATTGTTACAAGGAGAATTAGAAAACTGGTTTTATAAGAACAGACAGGAGAGAATTTGCCACTACTGCTCTGGCTGCTCAACCTTTATTAAAGTATTAATATGGCACTTTTGGGCACTTAGCTTGGATGCCTTATTCTAGGCCAGTGTGAATTTTATGGCTCAGTTAGAAAACTTTGCAAAGAGGAAAAAAGAAGTTTTTAAATAATAATATGTGACATTAATATTCATGCTTATACAATCCTATGAAATCTGGGTTTGATTTCTTTTCTTTCCTTCCTTCCTTCCTTTTTTCTTCCAGGTGCCACCCACAGAATATTTACCCTGTACTATAAAGAATTAAAAAAAAAAAAAAAACGAGTTGGGAAGATGCTTTAATTCTCTCCCAGATCACGAATGTCCTCCCTTATCCCAAGTGAAGGAGTTAAGTAGATGGGTCATCCAGTATGTCACCATAGTACTCTACTAGTCTAATGGGTGAGGGTTAAGTTTACTGATGAAACAGACAACCTGACAGACTCTAATGCTAGTGAAATAATGGAGTAGCTTGTCAAGAGTATATTGAGACATCTCTTTATCCAGAAGGCCTTAAGACAAGGTTAGTTCAATTTTGCTCAATATTCTGTTTGACTTAAGGGTTACAGGCATGCCTCTGCAGATGTCAGTCTCTATTAATATCAACACTTGTCCCTTCTCCTTCATTGCAAAGCCAGCTTAGTTACCTGCTAAGAAGATGGCACCACGATGGTAATGCAACGAATGGATGTGGGAGAAATGAGACAGACAGTGAGTAGCCACGTGTCATTTACCTGCAGATGCTATTGACATCCTGTTTATCACTCTAGGCCTGCCTCCTTTTGTGTCCAGAATTGGTGGGTTCTTGGTCTCACTGACTTCAAGAATGAAGCCATGGACCCTCGCAGTGAGTGTTACAGTTCTTAAAGGCGGCATGTCCAGGTGATGTTCAGATGTGTTCAGAGTTTCTTCCTTCTGGTGGGTTCGTGGTCTCGCTGGCTTCAGGAGTGAAGCTACAGACCTTCCCCGTATTACAGCTCATAAAAGCAGTGTGGACCCAAAGAGTGAGCAGCAGCAAGATTTATTGCAAAGAGCAAAGAACAAGACTTTCACACTTTGGAAAGGGACACCAGCGGGTTGCCGCTGCTGTCTCAGGCAGCCTGCTTTTATTCCCTTATCTGGCTCCACCCACATCCTGCTGATTGGTCCATTTTGATAGGGTGCTGATTAGTGTGTTTACAATCCCTGAGCTAGACACAAACGTTCTCCAAGTCCCCACTAGATTAGCTAGATACAGAGTGCCGATTGGTGCATCCACAAACCTTGAGCTAGACACAGAGCACTGATTGGTGCATTTACAAACCTTGAGCTAGACACAGAGTGCTGATTGGTGTATTCACAATCCCTTTGCTAGACATAAAGGTTCTCCAAGTCCCCACTAGACTCAGGAGCCCAGATGGCTTCACCTAGTGGATCCTGCAGTGGGGCCACAGGCAGAGCTGCCTGCCAATCCTGCGGTGCGCCCGCACTCCTCAGCTCTTGGGTGGTTGATGGGACAGGGCTGCAGAGCAGGTGGCGGGGCTCGTCGGGGAGGCTCCGGCCATGCAGGAGCCCATGGCGGCAGCGGGAGGCTCAGGCATGGGGGCCTGCAGATCCCAAGCCCTGCCCCACAGGGAGGCAGCTGAGGCCCCGCGAGAATTCGAGTGCAGCGCCAGCAGGCCGGCACTGCTGGGGGACCCCACACACCCTCCACAGCTGCTGGCCCAGTTACTAAGCCCCTCACTCCCCGAGGCCTGCGGCCCCCAGCGGCCACTTGGAGTGCAGGGCCGCCAAACCCACGCCCACCCGGAACTCGCGCTGGCCCACAAGCGCCTGGCGCAGCCCCGGTTCCCGCGCGCGCCTCTCCCTCCACACCTCCCCGCAAGCTGAGGGAGCCGGCTTTGGCCTCCGCCAGCCCAGAAAGGGGATCCCACAGTGCAGCAGCGGGCTGAAGGGCTCCTCAAGCGCGGCCAGAGTGGGCGCTGAGGCCGAGGAGGAGCCAATAGCGAGCGAGAGCTGCCAGCACGCTGTCACCTCTCACTTTCTTCTCTTCCAATAACTTTATTTCTACCATTTCTTTGGACATTCCTGTTTAGATATGTCACAATAATTTCAAACTCAGTAATTTTCACTCCTAAACCAGCTTGCCTTAGTGGGTTTTCTTGTCCCTGTTAAAAATACCATTAAGGCCCAAAGCCTCTGGATTTTTTTCTACTTTGCCTATTAAAACAACTCATCTGCAAAGCCCTATTGAGACTGCATTTGAAGTATCATTTTTGTCCTCTTTCTTTCCATTCCAAAACTAACAATATTAATACAAATTTCAAATACCTCAAATCTTACCAGAGCTTCTTCACTTCCTTGTTCTCAGGTCCATTTTCCCCAAACACACCAGATTGAAATTTCAAGAACTCTAATCCCATCTCATTACTATTTAAAGGCATTTAATGAATTCTCCATGACCTGTGTGGGGAAGCATAAAGAGGTATGTTTCAGTTTCCCTGAAGATACCACAGAAGTGGTGGTTGTGTTGGGTACAGACTGTAGGCTGGAAGTTGGCCAGGGAGTGCCTCCTGTAGGACAAAGGAGGCACAGAAGGCAGCAGCAATTGGCTTGGAAGCCCATGTCTATAACTTTCCATTTAATCAGGATCCTCTGGATAGGATCATGGTTCTATAGGGTGCAGTCAACCATTCTTTTCCACGAGCTTTACCCAGTTTCTATCTTATTAGGACCCTACACTCTGTAATTTAGACACATTAATCTACATGTTGTTTCTTGCACATTTCAGAGAGGATACCAGTAGGTTAGCAGTGCAAAAGAACACAAAAGTTTCTTTCCTCTGTTTTTTTTCAACCATCATCATTCTTTCCCTTGCTGCAATTATTCACTTCACTTCTTTCTTTTTTTCTCACTCTTCCTCTCACATCTCTCCATGTCTCATAATCTACAAAAAGCCCCTAAGTCTTTACCATGTAATCATTCCAATTAAAAAGTATCAAACCGCTGCACAGTGTTCTTTAATTTCTTTAGACTTTACCATAGATGTTGTCCATAGCAATGACCTGAAAAATATTAATGCGTTATGAATGACTTCTCCTTTCTTCATTCTCAATATTTTTTAATTTGCATATCATTATTTAACTTTGTATTAAACAAGAAGTTTATCTTGCTCTTCCAATTATAGTCATTGAAAGCCTCTCTTCTTCTTTGACTTCTACAGCACAGAGAAAGTATGCAATAAATATATACTGATTGGCTGTTCACAAATCAAGTCTCCTCATTAGGAGTTGTTGATATTTTCACTCCTCCTTGAGCAAACACATGGTTGTCTTTTAATATATTTTTAATGAGGTAAGTACATGGAATTTACTTAGGGCTTAGAGAGGCAAATCTATGATCACTGAGCTTTCTTAGAGGGAGACAGATTTGTAACAAAAAGGCAACTATAGGAATGGAAAGAGTGGAGTAGCTTAAGGATTAAAAGAAAGATAATGAATACAACGGTACAGACAAAAGAAATAAAAAAGAAGGGAAACAAACACAGAAAGCCTTTATCTAGGAGAAAGTGAAAGAGTGTGGAAGAACAGTTGGCGGTATAAGAGTTGTTAAATAAATCAAAATATTTGTTTCCTGTCACAGGACCATTGTGTTTGGTCTTCTACTGGTTTATGGTGCATGATAGGAGTTTAGTATTCTTTGTTTCTGCCAGAATTTGAGAATGTCCTTGAGGCTAAGTTGTGGGAAAAGTAAATATGGGACAGCAGAGTTGCTGTAGACCTTGATTTGGACCCTTGTAATGGTCTTGCCTCCTCCACTCTCTGTAATGATACTGCTAGCCTCTAGACCTTAAGTGAACAGCCTAAACAGCCATTCTGCCATTCCTGTTTTTCATACCTTCTCACACTGGTGGTGCAAAGTGCTCCATTCTGAAATGTTCTAGAAGGACCATGCTCTAAGTTGTCTTTGTTCTACAACTTTTATTAATCAGCTAATTATTATTCCTTTTTTTTTTTTTTTTTGGTGACTTCAAAACCAAATTTCTTTTTTTCTTCTTCTTTTTTTTTTTTTTTTAGATGGAGTTTCGCTCTTGTCGCCCAGGCTGGAGTGCAATGGTGCGATCTCGGCTCACTGCAACCTCCACCTCCCGGGTTCAAGTGATTCTCCTGTCTCAGCCCCGCCAGTAGCTGGGATTATGGGTGCCCGCCACCACACCCAGCTAATTTTGTATTTTTAGTAGAGATGGGGTTTCACCATGTTGGCCAGGGTGGTCTTGAACTCCTAACGTCAGGTGATCCACCCGCCTCTGCCTCCCAAAGTGCTAGGATTACAGGCATGAGCCACTGCGCCCGGCCCAAAACCAAATTTCTATTAACCGATGAATAGGTAAATAAAATGTGGTATTTCCATACAATGTGAACCTGCTGATAATGGAGATCTAATGCCAGTCTTATTTTATTATGCCAGAGAGATCATTGGGAATGTTCCCTTTGATTTTAGAAACATGAGTATGACCTTTACTTGTCACACTTTCAAGGAACTGAGGACTAGACATCTGAATTTCTTCAGATGTGAATAAAAGGATATATGAATTTAAGGATATGTGAATTAAAAAATATTGAGAATGAAGAAAGGAGAAGTCATTCATAATGTATTAATATTTTTCAGGTCATTGCTATGGACAACATCTATGGTAAAGTCGAAAGAAATTTAAGAACACTGTGCAGCGGTTTGATACTGTTTAATTGAAATGATTACATGGTAAAGACTCTTTAATTTCAGAGATGTTCTCCTCATTTCATGTGCCCCTGACTGGATTGTCAATCAAGTCACTCCATTTATGTCCTATCTACGGGAGATACCCATACACTTAGCACAGTGATTGCTCTAAAGCATGAGCACATAACACAAGCAAGTCCAGAGATCTTCCATAATAAGAGTGCTGTATGGACCCTGGGAAAGAGTCGATCTATTCCTTTTATCTCACAAGCTGTAAAGGTAAAATCTGAAGACTGCTAGAAGACATTTTTCCTAACTCAAGAAGAAAAGGTATCCATAGTAGGATAGAATGAGGCAAACACAGGGAAGGCTTGACACACAAAACTGATTATGATGGAGATAAAAATAGAGGTGGAGATGGAGATGGAAATAGAGAAATGAGATAGAGGATTATAATGATATTGTTTGGACTCTGAATCCAGCCATGCCTAACCTCAGATTTGTACTAAGTTATTTGTCAGTAAACTCCTATAGTTTTGTTTGTTTTGTTTTTGCTTCAATTGCCATTAAATTGGATTTTTAACATTTAAAACCCAAAGAGTGTTCAATATTCAATCAGGTTGAGGAAATTTTGCTGATAGTGCTTGTTTCTAGGGGTTTATCCACCCTAAGTTAAGTGTAATTTCCTGATTGTTGGCCAAAAAAAAAATCATTTTTTTATAGTTCATGGATAAAATAAACATGACATGGATGGATAAATGGTCATGGATAGTTTAATATATAAGAATGATGTAATAGGCTGAAATTTAAAAATTGTTTCTTTAGAATTAAAAGGCTACTCCCATATCTAATGCATCAATTCTGACATCTAAAACAAAAACTCTTAAATAATGCAATGCACTATTCATTAATTTGAAGGACATTTTTGCAGTCATCATTTGAAATATTTCTTAAGAACAAAGGATGAAAGATAAAATATGCAAGAAAAAATTATTTTTTGTGTGTACAATCCACCATTTTCCTTCTTACAGAAAATTATTTACTGTGATTCTTTATTTCAAAAGAAGTTATTGCTTCCATTTCAAAAGGAATTATACATAAAGAAAAAAGTCACATGCCCCAAACCTAGTCAAACACATAATATAAACAATCAGTATAACTTGGGAAAGAGATGTATTTATTTTTGGGTTAACTACATGGAATAATATACTTCCTAATATTTTTATTCGATATGCTCATTGAACACAATAATATTCTCCAGGTAGAAGTGACTGATAAACATGCATACTTACTTTAAAATTAGAAAGAACTTTTTTCTGAACTCTTTTTTTTTTTTTTTGAAACAGAGTCTCACTCTGTCGCCTAGGCTGGAGTGCAGTGGCGCGATCTCAGCTCACTGCAAGCTCCACCTCCCGGGTTCATGCCATTCTCCTGCCTCAACCTCCTGAGTAGCTGGGACTACAGGCGCCCGCCACCACGCCTGGCTAATTCTTTGTATTTTTAGTAGAGACGGGGTGTTAGCCAGGATGGTCTTGATCTCCTGACCTCGTGATCCACCCACCTCGGCCTCCCAAAGTGCTGGGATTACAGGCGTGAGCCACAGCGCCTGGCCTGAACTCTTAAAATTAGCCATAATTGCCCTGTAAGGCTCAGGTTAAATTGTCTTCGTCCCATAGATTTATCTTTATCACTGTAAATAAGAGTAATCAATCCTTCTCTAAACTTCTAGCCACTTAAGACATATTCAAGAAGCATTTACTAAATGTCTCCTATAAGCTTATCACTCTGGTGGATACAAAGAAATATAAGCCATGGTTCCTACTGTTAAAGATTTTACAAACCTGTTAGTGAGATTAGGAGTCCATATAAAGAAAGTTAAATATTATCCAAGAGATTAATGCAATCCTGTATTGCAAGGCGATTGATAACCTCCAAGTTCCAAAGTAATAGTTCACATGAATGTGAAGTCTTAAAGCATGTATCCACAACTGAGCTTTATGCTTCTTTACTCAAGGGTAACAATGAGTTGTAAAACCAGAGTATAGTTGGGTCATGCAAATTATACCTATTGGAATATACTTGAAACAGTTTCAGAAAAAAAAGAACATGAAAATCAACATAGTTTATAGTTTCTCAAAGCATGTAGTGGGAACCTAGAAATAAAGTAAATGTGCATCATTAATGAAAAAAGCTAAATAAATTATGTCATATTCATACTATTGAATATATAAAGCCATTAAATAAAATATATGTTTATATGAGTTCATTTGGAGGGATTTCTACAATGTATTTTAAGTAAGAAAAGAATGATACCTAAATTTAAAAATTGCCAGTCATCAGAATCAGGACAATTTGGCTGTCAATTTAAGTCATTAAACTTTGGGACAGCTATATGAAAATGGTAACTGATAACAAGTTTTTATTTAAAAAAACTATATTACTTATACAAGTGTTTCAGAAAGATTTCTGTGAATATATTAATATAACTTTCAGAAAATACATAGATGAGTTAAATAACTGTCACAAGCAAAAATAAAAAAAGTTGTAGGAATTTATTTAATGGTGAAAGGAGTCTCATCCCTTTTTCATACGATAATAAATCAGTTTGTATAAACCCATTATTGTAAAATACTACATATATAGAGAAAGTGCATATAACTCTGATATATGGCATAGCAAATTCTTATAAAGCAAACACCTGGGTAATAAAAACAGAATATTATCAACACCCTTTGTAGTGCTCTCATGTTAGAACTTTTACTTGCCTCTTTTAAATATAGCTTTATGATGGATTTTTCCTTCTTAAACATGATAGTTTTTTTTGTTAAACATGATAGTTTTGTTTGTATTCTGTGACTGATTTGTTTTGCTCAATGGTATGTTCTTAAAAGTTCAACATTGGTATATATAGCTATATTTCATTTCTTTATTTTTATTGCTGTATCACAGTTATTAATCTATTCTTTAATTATTAGACATCTGATTTGTTTCCAGTTTGGAATTGTTGCAAATAACTTGACTTTGAACGGTCTTGTCATTTTCACATGATACAGTTTCATGTATTTCCCTAGTGTATAAAATACAGGAGTGGAATTGTCGGGTCATTGTATAGTTGTATTCTAAATGTATAAGATGATGCCAAACTCTTTATGAAATGAACAAATAATGGTACGTATTTTAATTGATTTTGCACTCCTATTATTACTAATGAGATTGAACACATTTTCATGTTTTTGAGCCATTTGAATATCCTCTTTTATTAAATGCCTGTTTAAGTTTTCTGCCCCCTTTTTATTGTATCGGTCATTATTTATTTGTAGGAGGTCTCCATATATTCCCTTTCCAAGGCCTATGTTTGCCATATGTGTTGCAAATAACTCTTTCCATTCTTTGTATTACCTTATTTTACTACTAAGTAATGCCCTTTGACAAACAGAAATTCTATTATTTTATAGTTAGAATATTCTATATTCTGTTTGAGAAAACTTTTTCCACCTTGAGGTCATAAAGATATTCTCCTGTAATTCTAAATAATTAGTTTTTTTGTCCTTCACATTTATACCTATACTTTAAATGTAATTGGTTTTATGTAGGAGATGAAGTAGGAATCAAGTTGTATTTTTTTTCAGTATGGATACCCATTTTTTTCATTATCATTCTTACTGAAAATACTGTCCTTTCCCCCAATCCTGTGTAATGGTAATTTTCTCATAAACCAAGTACCACAATATATGTGGCCTTTTTATGAACTCTTTACCTATTCCATTGGTCTGTTCTTTTATACTTGCAGCATCAATGCACTATCTTAAATAGCTTTATAATATAACTTAACACTCAGTAAAGCAAGTCTCCCTACCATGTATTTCTTCTTAAAAAATATCTCAGAACTTCTTGCCCCTTTGTATTTCCATATAACTTTTAGAAACAGCTGTCAAGTTTCACTTCAAAAATTTAGTATTTTGACTGGGATTGTATTGCATTAAATCAGCAATAATATACTTAACAGCATAGAGTTTTCCAATTCTTAAACACTATATATCCATCCTAATTATGTTGAGATTGCTTACATACTGTTCTATAGTATTCTGTATAGAGATCTGGCAAAATTTTTACTACATGCATCCCTACGTATTGATATTTTTTATGCGATTGTAAATTATATCTTTCTTAAGTATTTCATTTTCCAACTGTTGATGCTATATAAAAATGAAATAAAAGATTACCCACTGATTAAAGTAAGTTGTCTATAAAAAGTAAACTATTTTACAAACCACGGCTCAACGAAATAAAAGAGGACACAAATGGAAGAACCTTCCATGCTCATGGATAGGAAGAATCAATATCATGAAAATGGCCATACAGCCTAAGGTAATTTATAGATTCAATGCCATCCCCATCAAGCTACCAATTACTTTCTTCACACAATTGGAAAAAACTACTTTAAAGTTCATATGGAACCAAAAAAGAGCCTGCATTGTCAAGACAATCCTAAGCCAAAAGAACAAAGCTGGAGGCATCATGCTACCTGACTTCAAACTATACTACAAGGCTACAGTAACCAAAACAGCATGGTACTGATACCAATACAGAGATATAGACCAATGGAACAGAACAGAGCCCTCAGAAATAATACCGCATATCTACAACCATGTGATCTTTGACAAACCTGACAAAAACAAGAAATGGGGAAAGGATTCCCTATTTAATAAATGGTGCTGGGAAAACTGGCTAGCCATATGTAGAGGGCTGAAACTGGTTCACTTCCTTGCACATTATACAAAAATTAATTCAAGATGGATTAAAGACTTAAACGTTAGACCTATAACCATAAAAATCCTAGAAGAAAACCTAGGCAATACCATTCAGGACATAGGCATGGGCAAGGACTTCATGACTAAAACACCAAAAGCAATGGCAACAAAAGCCAAAATTGACAAATGAGATCTAATTAAACTAAAGAGCTTCTTCACAGCAAAAGAAACTATCATCAGAGTGAACAGGCAACCTACAGAATGGGAGAAAATTTTTACAATCTACCCATCTGACAACGAGCTAATACCCAGAATCTACAAAGAACTTAAACAAGTTTACAAGAAAAAATCAAACAACCCCATCAAAAAGTGGGTGGAGGATATGAACAGACACTTCCCAAAAGAAGACATTATGCAGCCAACAGACACATGAAAAAATGCTCATCATCACTGGCCATCAGAGAAATGCAAATCAAAACCACAATGAGATACCATCTCACACCAGTTAGAATGGCGATCATTAAAAAGTCAGGAAACAACAGGTGCTGGAGAGAATGTGGAGAAATAGGAACACTTTTACACTGTTGGTGGGAGTGTAAACTAGTTCGACCATTGTGGAAGACAGTGTAGCGATTCCTCAAGGATCTAGAACTAGAAATTCCATTTGACCCAGCCATCCCATTACTGGGTATATACCCAAAGGATTATAAATCATGCTGCTGTAAAGACACATGCACACGTATGTTTATTGTGGCACTATCCACAATAGCAAGGACTTGGAACCAACCCAAATGTCCATCAATGATAGACTGGATTAAGAAAATGTGGTACGTATACACCATGGAATACTAAGCAGCCATAAAAAAGGATGAGTTCACGTCCTTTGTAGGGACATGGATGAAGCTGGAAACCATCATTCTGAGCAAACTATCACAAGGGTAGAAAACCAAACACCGCATGTTCTCACTCATAGTTGGGAACTGAACAATGAGAACACTTGGACACAGGGTGGGGAACATCACACACTGTGGCCTGTCATGGGGTTGGGGGAGGGGGAGGGATAGCATTAGGAGAAATACCTAATGTAAATGACGAGTTAATGGGTGCAGCACACCCACATGGCACATGTATACATATGAAACAAACCTGCACATTGTGCACATGTACCCTAGAAGTTAAAGTATAATAAAAAAAGAGAGAGAGAAAAAAAATAAAGTGAGATAAATTATTCTAAAAAAAAAGTAAACAGTTTTATTTCTTCATTTATAATCCCTAGGTCTTTTGTTTATTTTCCTTTTTTTCCTATATTTCACTGGCTAGGACCTCCACTATAATGTTGAACAATGGTAATCTCATTTACAAATTCAAGGTGAAAACTTTGACTATTAAAACATTAAGTATAACATTTTCTTTGTTTTTTTTTTTTAAAAACAATGTCAGATTAAAGAAGTTTATATTTCTAGCTTGCCAAGTGGTTGTTGAATTTTATCACATTCTGTTCTGAAGCAAATGAGATAATCAGCTTGTAAAATCTTCTTTTAATTTGCTGAATTACATTGATCTTCAAATGTTGAAACAACTCTGCATTCTCAGGTTAAACTTAACTTGTCAGAATCTAGTACAGTATTAGTTTTTATATATTGTTGAATTTGATTTGAAAAATTGTTAAAGATTTATATATTTTTATTAATGAGAGAAACTCATCTGTAATTTTCTTTTTCTGTAATAATGTCAGATGTTATAATCAAGGTTAGGTGGCCTAATTCCTTATGTATATGGAAGAATTTACTGGTGAAGCTGTCTGATCCTCATGATTTTTCACCTATTTTTAAAAATATTTGTTATGATTGTTTTAATGAGTAGGTTTAATATCTGAGTCACTTGTGAGCCTATTTATATTACCTTTTTTCATCTGTTTTCAGTCTTGGTTCTTAGCATCTCTGCTAACTCTTTATGGGATTGTAGAGTATTTGTAATGCCAATTCATAAAATTTGAAAAGTTTTTGATTAAAAGAAAAAAATCATAAAATCTCAGCTTTTGCAATCTCAGCACATAGTATGTTGCATTGTCTGTTTTGT